>NC_000001.11:59856865-60159895 GCF_000001405.40 Homo sapiens
CTGAGACAATGCGGGCCCTCTCATGTCTTTTCTGGGCATGTGCACAGCCCTGTACTTGGCTGACCTTCGAGATCTCCGGGAACATGTCAGAGCTTTTTAAAGATTCCTATGGGCATCTTATTTCTCAGATCTTTCTTGCAAATTTTTGGCCAGGCTCTTGTGTACCATAGCCATTATCACAGCCTTCAGTACCTGTGGTGGCAAACAGTTGCTGATGATTCTATTTGCCAAATGTCTCGGAAATATTTCCTGCAGAGCAAGCAGTGACTCAGGTCAAATCATGAAGAGTCCCTACAAATGGGATTTAGGAAGCTGCAAGACAGGTTAAACAGTGACAATTCTCTGTGGATGGGGCTTTTTAAGGGAGCCCCATATCCATCCAGTCTGTGCCCATTCTGGTGGCTGCTAGAGCTGCTGGTTTTCACAGCTACAGCAATTGAAAGGCTGCTTGTTTTCAAGGTTACTGCAGAGCTGGGGAGACGGGAATCATAGTTAGAAAAGTTAAAAGAGCAAAAAGCTTACTGTTCTAACCAAGGTTTAGCAGGTTTACTTTAATAAATGCTCACCAGACTGTTGTAGGCCTTTGGTTTATTCCCAGAATTCTGAAATAGTTGATAATGACAAATGTGCTAGTGTGTGCATTACGTTAATGGAGGAACAGATTTACAGAGGTCTTTGTGCCTGCTCCTGCTAGATTTCCAACTTTAGGGTTCAGAGATCCTTAAGGCACCTACGGACCCCTTGAATCAGTTACCAGTTTACTGCTAAATTGATTTGAAACACGTAATGGACTAATTAGGGCTTTGTTTATTGACTTGGAACATAACAGCATTTAACACATGATTTTATATTCAGTAGTACTTTTCAAGTTCTGGGAAAATGATTTAAACATGAACGTTCTGTTCGTAACCTAGAAGTTTGTCATTGGTGTAGGCTGTAAAATAAAATAGTCAGTGATATGAAGTACCAGCTTGCTGTCCTTGGGAAATGGTGTTTTTCCGCCAATGTGTATCTCCAGGATACTACTTACCACTTCTTCCAGTTGAGTTTCACAACAGTGGTAAAAAGTAACTAGTCTCCAGCGTCTCTTACACACCAACCTATATTCTAGATCCTTGACTAATACCACCTTTGTTATTCAGAACACCTTTGCAAGGGTTTATGTATCAGTATTCCTATTTTGAAGTTATGGATACTAAAGCCAAAGAGTTATATAAGTTGCCTAAGACAATATAGCTAGGAAGTGGTGAAATTGGTATTCAAACCATGGTCTTTATGCCTCCAAAGTCCATGCTTTTTTATTACCCGTTGCATATCTGTCCTCTGTTACATAATTGCATTCATTTTGTTCAAAGATAAGCTATCTGATGGGAAAGTCAAAACCATGTATAAAGACACATACTATTTATGTAACTGAATAGAAAATGAGCTTCTTAAAACTAAAACATTGTCACTTAAAATTAAGCAACAATTATTAAACTAGTTAAGATAAATTGTAAGCATAAAGTACATTGTTTATAGGCAGAATTAAATACTTTGCTGATATCAACAATTCTTTTCAGAGACTAATTGAGCAGCGTGATACTTTGAAAGAAACAAATGAAGAGCTTCGATGTTCACAAGTACAACAGGACCACCTAAACCAAACAGGTTAATTTTGTTAGATTTAGAAAAGTTTCAGCCTGGGCAGCATAGTGGGACTCCATTCAACAAAAAATAAAAACTTAACCTGTCATGGTGGCGCATGCCTATAGTCCTAGCTCTGGGAGGCTGAGGCGGGAGGATCACTTGAGCCTAGGAGTTTGAAGTTGCAGTGAGCTATGATTGTACCACTGCACTCCAGGCTTGGTGTGAAAGAGAAAAAGAGAGAAAGAGAGAAAGGAAAGAAAGAAGGAGGGAAGGAAGGAAGGAAGGAAGGAGCACGGGAGGGAGGGAAAGGAAGGAAAGGAAAGGAGAGGAGGAGGGAGGGGAGGGGAGGGGAGCGGGGAATTGGGTTTTTGGACAGAGAGAGACCCTATCGAAAGAAAGAAAAACAAAGAGAGGGAGGGGGGGAAGGAGGGAGGGTTTTTTAAAATAGTTGAAATACTGAAATGCTAATTTATTTTTTGTTATTTTTTAGATGCATCTGCTACAAAAAGTTATGAGAATCTTGCTGCTGAGATTATGCCAGTGGAATATAGGTAAATTTGTTTCATAATTTGATAGAATTATATTTAATATTATAATTTTTTTGTTTTTTGTAAATGTCTTGGCCTTTAAAAACTTATTTTATGACTCATAGAGCTGAAAATTACTGTTTGATCTACTTAAACTTTCTAAATCATATTATTATTGCTACCACAACAATTTAAAATTTTATCAGAAGTAAAATTTCACAAACCCGTTGAATAACATATTTTAGTTTTTATAATATGACATGACCCCCATGTGCTATGTTATAATTGCTTTAACTAGGGAGATTTAAGTATATACTTTAAAGTTAGGAAATTATTAGAAAACAAAAATCAATATGATTTCACAAGCCTTTGATGGGAGAAGTGGTAAATGTATAAAGGGAGAAAAGTTACTTATCTTGCTTAGTGGGGAGTCAATCATTAACTTAAAATTAGTAATTTAAAAAATAGCCATATGAGCTTTTTTTTTAAGAGTTATACTATTGGCATTCAGAAGAACAAAAATTGAGATTACTTGAAATTAGTTGCTTTTGAAGAATGGGATTTGGCAGGGGAACAACTAAGGGAGAGTATTACCTCCCTATTTAATACAAATAATATTAACATCAATAATATTAATAAAAAGTTGCATTTTTTAAAAGTACATGTAAATCTTTAATAAAATTTTTTTCAGAAACAAAAGATCTAGAAACTTTCTTATTGCCATTATAAGGTATATATTAAAATTTTGCTCAAACTATAGTTTCTTAAATCTATTGCTTTTCTTTTATGTGTTTTCTAAGCATATACTATTTGTTTCCTTTAGCGAATAGTTTCTAAATTACCAAAGTAATATAATTTCTATTATCTCTTCAGGAATGGCATAATAACAATTTAATGATTTATAGCATAATCTTATATGGTACCTATAAAATTTGACTGCTTTTTTTTAAAGGCACAGTCTTGCAGTTTACATAATTTTTTCTTAAACACTTTCAGAAGCTTTTGTTGGAGTTTAAGAGTTTCATACCCTACCAGCTATGCTAGCTGGTCCTGCTTGCATCTTAAAATGGTAGCTATTGAGTGGACAGGAATTTCCTTTTTTTAACTAAAGAATATAATGACTCATATTTTTAAAAATTAAAAAAGATTTTGCTTTGTAACATCAGGGAGGTGTTTATTCGACTGCAACATGAAAATAAGATGCTTCGCTTACAGCAAGAAGGCTCTGAGAATGAACGTATTGAGGAACTTCAGGAGCAGCTAGAACAGAAACACCGTAAAATGAATGAACTGGAAACTGAGCAGAGGTGATATGCTCCTTAGTAACTGAAAATCTTGGTGATTTTATTACCGAGCCATAAAATCTTGATTCACAGAAATGGAAAATATTATTGTAGCTAAAGTAATTAGAATTACCTAGAAATAGTTTAATATTTTTGTTAGTAGTCTTTCATCACTATAAGCTTCTCTCTGTGAAAGAAGTCAGGTGATTCATTTCAGTTATATTTATAAAATATATGGATAATCCATTAATTTCAGCATTCTTGGTTAACCAGGCTACTTATTCTTTTTATTCTTTTTGAGACAGGGTCTCCCTCTGTCGCCCAGGCTGGAGTACAGTGGCGTGATCTTTGCTCATTGTAGCTTCCACCTTCCCAGTTCAAGTGATTCTCATGCCTCGGCCTCCTGAATAGCTGCAATTAGAGACATGCACCACCATGCTTGGATAGTTTTTGTATTTGTTTTCTTCTCTTTCTTTTTTTTTTTTTTGAGACGGAGTCTTGCTCTGTCACCCAGGCTAGAGTGCAGTAGCGCGATCTCGGCTCACTGCAACTTCCGCCTCACGGGTTCAAGCGATTCTCCTGCCTCACCCTCCCAAGTAGATGGGACTATAGGCACACGCCACTACGCCTGGCTAATTTTTTTTTGTATTTTTAGTAGAGATGGGGTTTCACCATGTTGACCAGGCTCGTCTCAATCTCCTGACCTCATGATCCACCCACCCTGGCCTCCCAAAGTGCTGGGATTACAGGCGTGAGCCACCATGCCTGGCCAATTTTTGTATTATTAGTAGAGATGGGGCTTCACCATGTTGGCTGGGCTGGTCTCGAACTCCTGACCTCATGTAATCCACCTGCCTCAGCCTTCCAAAGTTGCTGGGATTACAAACATGAGCCACTGTGTCTGGCCCACCAGGCTACTTATTCTTGAATTTCATTTAGATATGTTCACAATTCAGAAAGTTTGACAAATGAATAAATGACAGTTTGGCTTTCTACTGAAGTCTAGTGCATAGATAAGATCTAGATTGTGGAATCAAATTTAAATCCCACTTCTAATTTAACTTATTAACTGTTTCTGGACAAGTTACTTAAACTTACACTCAGTGTCTTCAGGTGTAAATACAAGTTGTTAGGAAGACTGCAGATAATGAGCTTAAAGCAAATGATGTGCTTATGTGGTATCAATGAAGTGCTCAAAACTTATTATATGCTTTTCTAAGTACTTTTTTGCTATTAACTCAGTAAATCCTCATAATAACTCTATGAAATAGTAACCATGTAGTAACCAATAGCTCTTTTTCTATGGATAAGGAATATGGATACAGAGAAGTTAAATAACATACCTAAAGTTATACACCTAGTAGTTCTGGATCCTCCATAATGAACTCTCTGTCAATCTGATTACTGAGTCTTTACTCCTAACTACTATGGTAACTTCCCTGTTATAAATGGTGTACTTACTATAAGGGTATTTGGATTTATTTAACCTTTATTGAATCCTAGACACCAACAGAAATTTTAGACATACTTGAATCTTACCTTTCTCAAACTTGTGTGTATAAGGTTACATAAACGGTGGTTAAAAGAAGAATAACAATTTAGTTTTCTAAAGAGACCATTAAATATTACTATTTTATTCAGTTCAATACCAGTTGTTAGCACTTTTCTGAAGAGACCATTAAATATTATCATCTTACTCAGTTCAATACCAGTTGTTAACACTTTTCTGAAGAGACCATTACATATTACTATCTTATTCAGTTCAATACAAGTTGTTAGCACTGGGGAAATCATTTAAGCTTTTAAGGAATTAACATAGGAAAGCAGACATGTAAATAGATAATTGCTATATTATGTGATAACTGCAACAGTGGAATATTATAGCAGGCAGGTGAGTGTGTATGTGTGGATACACATAGAGGGAGAGGGAGATACTAACTCTTGCTAGTAACTTCCAGTGGAAGTAACTCTTAAGCACAGTTTTAAAGAATGAGATTTTGCCACATTAGAATCTGAGTTAGTTGCTAGTGGCACTCCCTTTAATTTAAATTTAAAAAAACTTGTGGAAATGATTGGAAAATGGTGACCTTCCTCTTCCAATACGCTGTGAAATCTGAAACAGAAGATGGAAATCTAGTTTTCATTCATTAAAAATACAACTGTAGAAAAATTGAGCTGGTTTTCTGATTTTTCTACCAGTGAGTGCGGTGTAGAAATTTTTTGCCACCGACATTTAAGTTCCTTAAAATTTTAAATGTAGGCATATATACTTTCAGGAAAAAAGTTTTCTTTTAAAAAGTATTTTCTTAGAAGTAGCCTGCCCTACTTCATATTGTACCTAGGCACAGATAATTATTCCGCATTTGTCATTGCTATAAAAATATTTTTTACTTAAATTGCTAACTGAATGTACCTTTGTAGATCCTTAACTGCTTTGACTTTCAATACAAGTAAATGCTTATGACCCATCTTACAATAGGCTGAGCAAAGAGCGTATTAGAGAATTGCAGCAGCAGATTGAGGACCTCCAGAAATCTTTACAGGAACAAGGTTCCAAGTCTGAAGGCGAAAGTGTAAGTAACTTAGAAATTATAATAATTCTGCTGTGTATGGCTTTTCTTTAATAGATCATGATGTCCAAATTAATCTTGTATTGGAAAGTACAGCCCTTATCATTGAGAATACCCTTAAATACCGTATATATCTGCATAATAGATGCAGTGATTTTGCCAACTTGGAGCCTGTCAGTTGATCATCTACATTGGAAGGTGATTTCTGTCTGTCCTGCTTCAACAGCTATACCAAAGTTCGTGATAATTCTTAATCATCATTCAACATCATTTAGCAGCTATACCAAAGTTCATGATGATTCTTGATTGAGAGCATACTACAATTGAGGCCTTCATAGTTCTGCTGGAATTCCAACAGGGCTGGCCTGAGAAAAATCCAAATGAGAGTAATTAGCAGTCAGAATTGAGGAAACCTTCTAATAGGAAAAGAGAGAATGGGAAAATGATTTCTACCTAAAGAGCATGCCAAAAATGGATTATACCCGTCTCTGAAGGACAGAAACTTTAATGCAGCCTTGGAGGCATCACTCATTTCTTTCTCCTTCCTTAATGATTCATGGCCTTACCGTTTTCTGATGGATTTTGACAGCAGCTACTGTGAGAGCAGAGATAAGAGGATTTAAAAGAGATCAAACTTAGCCAAAATCTGACTATACCTAGCAACTTTTCTACAGTTTGATCTTTTTATGTGAAGAGAAAAAGAAGTAATGATTGAGGGATTGTTGTACTTAATTAAAAATAACAAGAAAAAAGGACTAGATATGTGTTAGGGATATCTTGATTGATTGAGATTAGATAAAATGCTAGGTGATTATACCTGTGTTGATGGGGGAGGAAACTTTGCAGAGTAAAGAGATGAAAAGGAAAATTGAAAGAGTTGCATTTTCTTTCTGTCTTTTATGTGCTTTATATTATTTTCTTTTTTTTTTCCCTGGGGGCTTGGAAAATAGAAATCGTCTCATGCATGGCGGCATCTCATATGTGCATATATACGGTATTGTAACTTCTCTAATACAAATATTATTTTAAGCCATACTAGAGAATACTTTTAAAATGAGGTATTTTGCAGGGAGCACATTTTGGCTGGCAGTGTTTTAAAGATAAATGTCTTTATTATTTTAATATATTGGTATCCAACTTGTATTTCAGATTATATATTTTAAATACTTCACCTATACAATAGATGCGGAACGACTATTGCAATTTAAAGTACTGTTTTTTAAAAGAGGAAATTGTATGTTTAAAATTTTGCTTTTTAACAATATTCAGTTGCTTCATTTTGGTGTTAGTTATTAAAGTATTTACAACTATAATAAAATTTTATTATAAAGATAATTATTTTAGATCTTTAAGTTTGTTCCTCATAAGAGGCCCAAAATCTTAAAATTTTTATTCTGAATAAATGATTTTTAAAATATTTTAATGTTTGATACTCCTCAGTATATCACATTCAGCTTGCATTTGGTGTTTTTCAAGTTCAGATTTAATTTTTATTACATTCAGAAACATGAGGCATTTTTCTTTCTGTTTTTGTACCTTTTTATATTTCATTTTCTATTTTTCCTTTCCTTTTTGAAGTAAAAAAAGAACCTAAAAAGTTTATGCTTCTTAAAGTGTGTTATTGGAAATACAAATTTTAAAAATATTTATAATTTTGCCTGGTACACCTTCAAAAGGAGGTAAAGAGATTTCGATGTCTGGAAAATTGACCTTTGTCAAGATAGTCATCTTACAGCAATTTTTTTTAAATTTTATAGTCCAGCAAATTAAAGCAGAAGTTGGAAGCTCATATGTAAGTAAAACTGATATTTCTTTTCAAATATGAGAAGGGAGGGGTTGTAAAAGCCTCTAAAGTTAATCTCCTTTTCGGATTTTGTCTAGAAAAGCAAATATCCTGATGCTAATTGATACACCTGCTGCAAAAGTGAAAAGCATGCTAAAGATTCAGCCTCCCTACTACCCCCGTTCCAAACTCCTACATCTTTCCATTGTTAATATCATTTGAAAAGTTTAAAAAAACAGATTAACTATCACAACTAGATTATATGGGATGTTAAACCTATAAAATATTTTACTTTCTTAGGAAGCAAGGGTGGCAAGGGAAATAATTTAACCTTTTTGGCACCTGCCGTGTGCCTGACTGTTTACATCCTCATGACAACCCCTGCAGTCATGCAGATAGTATTCCCATTTCACAGATGAGGAACCAAGGGTCAGAAAGCAACTTGCCCAAGGTCCACAAATGTTATATGGCAGAGACCAGTCTCCATGCTTTTTCTACCACTTAGGGAAAAACTCACAGAGGTCCATGAAGAATTACAGAAGAAACAAGAACTCATTGAAGATCTTCAGCCAGATATAAATCAAAATGGTAGGTATCTGTGAAAACTTGGATCAGACAACAGTATATCTAAGGACTTACCCTTTTTTATTGAAGGATCCAAGGTCTATGTGTAAGTTTTTGCACAATGTGTAGATACATATATTGTAAATAAGGACTATGATAATTTTTAGTGCTGAAGTCATTAATAAAAGATATATTATTAAAGCAAAAAATCTAATAAAATGAATTGATGGATATATGGGAGTATCAAACATTAAAAAATAAGATTAATCTGGAAATGTGGGTAAAAATGATTTCAAATCAGATTGATATAAACTTTAAAACATTGTGTAGAAATGCTTTATTTTTCTTGTGGTTGTGCTTACTGTAAGGTATATTTGCTATTTATACTTGATAGAAAGGAGAAAAAGAACTAAATAAAGCAGATTGTAGATATTTTTAAGGGTCAAATAATAAATGATTGAGAATGTGTTGGTTGTATTTCAAAACTTTTAGATAAGAATTCACTACAAAGAATAAATAACAGGCTTTTCTTTTAAGTTATCGTCTTTAGAAAATAAATATTATAAATATAATTTTATGTGAGGATGAAGTATTTTAATAGGTAGTAAATATTAATAACTGATTATGCTTCATTTTATTTTTACTAATAGTACAAAAGATCAATGAACTTGAAGCTGCTCTTCAGAAGAAAGATGAAGATATGAAAGCAATGGAGGAAAGATATAAAATGTACTTGGAGAAAGCCAGAAATGTGAGTGACTTATCTTTCGGAGCTCAAGACTTTGTGGCCTGTGTTTTAGCAAGGCTCATTTCACTGGATTTTTCTGCCATTCTTGTATCTGTATCTAATCACTTCTCTCTTAACTGTATTGCCTTACCTGTCAGGTTTCCGTAGTATTTCCCAATCAGTTCTCATACTCTTAGTCTCACTCATCAGTGTCAGATAAAATAGGCCATAGCTAATAGGGACTGTTTAGACAGACTGTCGTGATGTCAGAGAGAGTGATGGCTATAATGTATGGAATCTTTAGTTCTTGGCAAAATAAGCCCAGAATTCTTATTTGCTAGAATCTTTGCAAATTTTCTAAGAATACAATTTTTCTAGAAACAGCAAAATGGATATTTTATCTTTTGTAAAAGTTTAGCTTTTTAAATGTATTTGAAATTGTTGTAGCATTTAGTTTGAGATTAGATAGTTAAACGCTTTTCAAATGTTCATCACACTCAAGGTTTAAAAAGGTAGAGGTTTACTTCATAGTCACATTGAGTCCAATCATAAATGGGGAAGGGGCACTTCTCCATGTAGTCATTCAGAGTCCTAAGCTGACAGAGGCTCTGCCTTCTTCAGCATAGGGATCCCAGGTTCACTTGACCTTGTCCAACTAGGTCAAATGAAGAAAGACAGCCTAGATTGCATAGGAGATATGTAATGGGCGAGGCCTGAAAACAGCATAAATCACTTTCACTCCCACTTTGGAGCGCAGGCATGTGACCACACTACATTTATGGAACAGACTTTGCAAAAGTAAAATAATGCCTACATAATACTTAGTTGTGTGGGATATAACAGAGTTTACTTAAGCATTATCCTACTATTGGAAATAATCTGTATTCATTTCCTTTTCCTTTTTTGCTCCTATAAATAAGACTATAGTCAACATAATTATACAGAAAGCTTTCTCTTTATTTTGGTTTATTATCTTAACCTTATTTCCTAGAAATGGAAGTATTGGGTCATAGGATAAGACCATAAGATGCCTGATATGTATTTCTAAATGACATTTTAAGAGGACTATAACTAATTGAACAAAACCATGACAATGAATACCACATTTTTGCCACCATTGATTAATATCATTTAAAAGACAGTTGCTTGCTTTCATAAATATGATTTTTTTTCCCATTACCTTATTTGGGGCAAGAGGTTTAAATAATGGTTAAGATACTGGCTAAAGTAATAACATGTCCTTGTAGAAAATTCAGAAAATATACAAATCACAACCATTTATCACTTAGAGATAATAAACTATGATTTGCTCTTTGTAATTAAATTGATATAAATTATTCAATGTATTCTGCTTTTATGGTGTGCATTCCATGAGGGTAGGCACCATGTCTCCAATAAATTGCTGAATCCTCATCTGCCAGTATCTACCACACAGTTGTCACTCAATAAATGATTTTTGGATGAATGAAGGAGCCACAATAGTATTTTGGTATTTTACCATCCAGTCTTCTTCTTTTTCCTCTATAAATGTAGATGAAGTTTTCCTAACTCATTAAATAATTTTAAATATTTTTAATAGTTTTATAATTACATCATGCAGATGTCCCTGTTTGAAATTTATGGTTTTTGCTTGAAATATATTCTTGACATTTCTGAATTGGTTTTCTAACAGATTGCTATCTCCATAGTTTAGCTGAATCTCTTTACTACATTCTGGTCAAACATATCTTTTTACTCAATTTTTAGTAATAACATAAATGCGATTCAGCACCCTACCTTTTGCAAATAAAATCACCAGCATTTATTATATTGATCTTATATATTGAATTACACTTGACTGGATAATAATAGTAAAAAAGATTATTGCTAAGAATTTCTTCTGTGTGTTGTTCTTACTTTATAAAATCAATGTTTCCTTAGAGTTATTGAATTCATTTTGATTTTTTTAAAAATTCTCAAGTCAAATAAATACAGAAAGGATTATTTCAAGACTTTAATGCCTAAAGTTTGAGTATTGAAAAGGCTAAATAACTATTTCCATGTACTGAGCCTTGGAGAAGGGAAATTTGTTTTTGGAATGGGGACATTTATATTTTTGTACTGAATTTTTGTACTGTTTCTTGTATATAGAATGAGTTATTTTTGTTATCCCAATTAGGATTGTAAAACAAGCTACAGTTAGCTCTTGGATGACTTTGTGGATTATTTTCCACCTTACTTACACAGTTTTTGTAAGATATGTTCTATATGTTTTAATACTTTAAAATATAAAGTGAACATAGTATTTTTTTCTTTAAACAGGTAATAAAAACTTTGGATCCCAAGTTAAATCCAGCATCAGCTGAAATAATGCTACTAAGAAAGCAGTTGGCAGAGAAAGAGAGAAGAATTGAGATTCTGGAGGTAAAACTTTTATATTTACTCATCTTTTAGTTATTTTGTAGAATCCTGGTAATTAACTGCTGTCATATATTTGTCATTAATGATCAAGTTTTACAAGAAGTTAAAAATGTCATGTTTTAGCACCCAGTGTGTTTATTACAAAGCATCTCACTGGCCGCCCAATAGATGCTCTGTGTGTAGCTCATATACCCTGTTTATATGCAGCGTTGTAGTTGTAGCTCTTCTTGTCAATAACAGGCATTATATGGCTATCCCTGACTTTCTAATAGAGACCTGCTATAATGTTTCTTTTAAAATTATGCAAATATGATTTCATCTGGGGGATATAAACCTGACCTTTACCGTTTAAAAAAGATACTGTGTTGATTCAGTCAATCACATTTTTCTTGTCTTCAGCCGTTTCTCACCTGAACCTAAACAAACTTATTAATAGTGGAATTTCTGGGAGAAGGAAGTACTCACAGAATTCCAGTGAACTCCTGAACTAAAGTGGAATTCTTAGTTATTAATCATGCAAAATTATATTAGTAATGGCATGCTCTCATCAATTAGCTGAGTCTTTAAATTTTAAAGATATTTTTGTGTTAGTGGTTATATTATTTTTATGAGCCTTAGGTAAGTATGTCACTATGGAATTCTGTATTCTTAGATTTATAATTGAGCACGTTCTGGTTTCCTTTGCAAAGTGTTTTACAAAGCTACTGTATTTAATACTGTAGTGAGATTTGATGCTATTCTTGAAGTAAATATATACTTCCTTTTAATAACATATGCATAATTGCAGAGCCATATTGAATTCTACATACTGGCCTTGAAATTCTCATAAATGGTACTCAGTTTCTTTTTTTTTTTTCTTTTGATATGGAGTCTTGCTCTGTCGCCCAGGCTGGGTTGCAGTGGCGTAATCTCAGCTCACTGCAACCTCCGCCTCCCAGGTTCAAGCAATTCTCTTGCCTCAGCCTCCCTAGTAGCTGGGATTACAGGTGCATGCCACCACGCCCAACTAATTTTTGTATTTTTTGTAGAGATAGGGTTTTGCCACGTTGGCCAGGCTGGTCTGGAACTCCTCACCTCAAGTGATCTGCTCTCCTCAGCCTTCCAAAGTGCTGGGATTACAGACGTGAGCCACCGCACCTAGCTGTATTCAGTTTCTTTTTAAATCATCTAGGAATGTTATATTTCAAAGAAATGCACTCTATTTATGTGCCTTTTTCTTGGTATTTGAGCAAGTAGGTATGAACTGTGGTAGAAATATTTTTATTTAAAGACTTAAAGACTTTAACACCCCCTCCTCCCTACATCCATAGTACAACACCATTCTTCCTACATCCATAGTACGACACCAACCCGATACGCCCTTGCTATCAGTGCTTGTCCAGGCTATGTTGTGTGTTCTCAAAAGCACTGGGTAGGGAGATTTGTCTGAAGAAATGCTATTCTTGAAATTCTAAGTCAAATATCTCTTTATTAAACTTTCCCTGTATTCCTTAGGGGAGGTTTAATACTGTCTCACTCTCCACACTGAGTCCATGTACTTCAAACTCATGAATTTATTCCACAACAGCATTGGTTTTCTTTTTGGTACATGTGGACGTGTCTTGAGGGCAAAGCCTATCTTTTATCTCTGTACCCCTAACATTAAATATTACATAAATCAGAGGCCAGGGTTGCAGCATTATTAGTAACTTCTTGTCTTAAAATAGTTACTTCTCCTCTCTGGCTCACCATCTTCTCATCTATAAAATGGTGAGACTGGGATTGGATAATCGCTGACATCTAAGTTGCTCTGTTTATGTCCCAGTGAAAGTCAGTGAAAATATACACCATCATTGATGTTTGAAATGTACATCCCCAACAGATATGATGAGAAAATAGTCCCTGTAACTATAAGACTCTGAGGAAAAGCTTAGGTTAAGTCACAGCACATGGGCATTTAATTTGTGCGTATTCATCTAGACACACACTGCAAAAAGTAAAAAGGAGAAATGTAATGTAAATAGCAGGGGCTGTTCTATCTGCCATCCCTCTGGGAATTCTGTGCCTGGAGTGAATGTGAGTCTGAAGAAGGGCATCACCTCTCTTTTGGGCTTGGTTCTTATATACTTTTTGTATCATGAACATCCTATGTATCAAGATAATAGTACTTATATAAACCAAACTATATCTGGTACTCAAGAAAAGTATGTCAGTCTCTGTGATGGCACATAAATACGGCTATGGAATCTAGTACACAGACCACCAACAATTAAGAGAGAAAAATTTGTATTAAACTTTATAGGCAACTTAAAAAGATTTTTCCAGTTATTTTTGACTATGTCCTCTTTCTCCTTAGTTTTGACCCCTCCACGGGTGCAGCTCTGTTTCGTTTACCTAAGCCACTCGTTACTTTTTTCTCTAGATATGGTGGGCAGTAGCCTTAAAATCACTAGTTGTGTATATGTATGTTTAAATCATTCTCTTCTACCTGTAAATTTCTTGAAATAAAGGTTTATTAGTCACAAACCTTATTCTTTCCTAAAGGTGTTGGGCATGCATTTGTGCTTGATTCAGTTTACATTTGACTACATTGTGTGCCTCACAAGTGCAATCTTTAGATTCTCTCAATAATGAACATAGTGAAGAAATTATTCTATCTTTAGTAATTTGGGGTAATTTCTGGGATTTTAATTGTTCTCATATCTTTTTTCCAGAGTGAATGCAAAGTAGCAAAATTCCGTGATTATGAAGAAAAACTCATTGTTTCTGCGTGGTATAATAAGGTGAGCTGAAGTTCAGCAAATGATTGGATGAGAACGGTGTTTAAGCAAACTTTTTTTTGACCAAGTACAACATAAGAAAATATATTTTATCTTATACCATAAACCAAGACATAGCATGTTTATGTATATGACTGAAACAAAAGTTACCCTGTGTATTGCACTCAGATATTTTGTCATATTCTCCTTTAATGTTGATTCTAATCCACTAACTTGATATTGTGACTCATCAGCCTTTAGCTGATACGTATTGAAGCACAGGTGTAATAATTCATAAACCTTTTTAAAATTGCCTTATTTGAGCTGAAACACTCAATTTTTGCCCATAAAAGGTTTCTGAAGAAATATGAAGATCTGTGTAATGCAAAATTAAATGCTTCTAGTTACTCAGTATTTATTTTAACATCCTCTAAAGCCTCAGTGTGTCCTTTACTGTATTTATTACTTTATTTTTTTTATCCAGGGGTTACTCTTCCTATTTGTCTCTTTGTACTACCAAGGAGAAAATAGCATAGTTTGAAATGTGTTTTATTTTGTCATTGGTAGTATCAGTAGGATATTTTCAAGAGTAGCATTTCATGATGTATATGGTTCTTTTGCATTATTCTAGTCAGCCAGAATAGGCTATTATCTACTTTTATCTCTTATTTATACAAAGGCATATCACTTTATAAACTTCCCATGTGTGAATGCTGTGCTCCACCAGAAAGCACTAGTTATTCTTCCTGAAACATGGCTCATGCTTTCATGACACCATGCTTTTCATCTGAGCTCTTTCCTTTCTTCTGTTGGGTAAAATATTGCTTAAAGGGCCCTGAAGGAAATTATGTGTGAGGTATTCTCAGAACTTTCTCTCATGAGTCAGTCATCCTAGTTGAGATCAGTGACTGTGTATTATTTATTTGTTCTTCCATGACCTCTTGATACATAAATCAGTGAAGATATTGTAGCCAGGTAGTCCATGATTGATTCATTTTTTTCAGCCTATATTTGTTGAGCATCTAATATCCATGTACTGTACTAGTTACTAGTGATGCTAAGTTCAGTAAAATTGTGTTATGTGGTCTAGTGGGAGAGTAATGACTTCCCTTATAAGAAACTCAACAGCCAAAATATGGTAATTTATCAGGTATCAATATTGAGATAGACTATAGTAAATTTAATCTATACTGGTGGTTCTTAAACATTAACTTGCCTCAGAAGACTTGTTAAAACACAAATTGCTAGACGCACTGGCAGAACTTCTGATTCAGTAGGTCTGGGTAAGGCCCCTAAATTTGTATTTTTAACAAATTCCCAGGGATGCTAATCTTGTTAATCCGGGGACCACCCTTCAAGAACCTTTGATCTAAGCCATTCTGTTGTGACATGTCTGCTCATAGGTGGTACGGTGATGGCCCAAACACAAAAATTTTTATAATTAAGTCTAATTCCAGGCCATTCTTTTAAGTTACTGTTTTAAATAATTTTAAATTTAGTGATTAAATAGAGAAAATGGATTTTGTGCCTTCTTACTAGCATTACCATTTCATAGATTAATCAGCTTCTGAACCCTTATTTTCTATAAAAATGAGGAAAGCCTTAGCTTTATAGGTTGGTTTTAAGGATTAAGTGTCTTTATGTGAGAAGCACTCGGCAAACTCTGTTTAGTCATGTTAAATAAAAAATATATGTTTTTTTTTTTCAGAGTCTAGCATTCCAGAAACTGGGGATGGAATCTAGACTTGTGAGCGGCGGTGGTGCCTGCAGTGACACTGGTGCGTGCACTCCTGCGCGGTCTTTCTTAGCGCAGCAACGGCACATCACCAACACCAGAAGAAATCTCTCTGTTAAAGTCCCTGCTACAACATCTGATTAAACTGCAAAAAAAACAAAACAAAACAAAAAAACCACATAAAATAGAAGTGTCCTTAAAATATTTTGTACCTTTCAACTAACTACCAGATTGAAAAAGAGTTTATGATGCGGGATATCAGGTATTTTAAAATCAACATGCATCAAATTAATTTTGCCAGTTGACTTTAAAAACAAATTATAGAATTAGCCATCTCTCTGAGGGAGCACATTTGAATAATTGGAGATGCAGTTATACACACATTTCAAACAAACATTTGTCTTTTGAGAGTATTATAATTTCAAATTGGCCTTGTATATTTTAGTTAAATGTTTTCAGTTGTATTAGTAACTTAATTAATTTTCAATAGCTATTCAGTAATACTTAATCTTAGAACATTAATTGGATTTGTTTAATCTTTTTTTGTTTTTTGTTGATTTATATGAAAACAGTCTTGAGGCAGGGACATGGAGAACTATGCAAGGGTGATTTCTTTGACTTAATATATACAAGGCTTTACTTCTGTCCCCTAATTCTTCCATTGAATGTGTACCTCTACCTTGTCATGTCATGGAAGATACAACATTTGGAAGATCTGACAATTGGAATGACTTTGGAATAATAAAATTGACTAATTGGAAATTTTGCATATTCTGAAAATCTAATCTCATAGTTCTAATTTGTACCTATGGCAAATAAGGGCTTCTGGACATCATGTTTAAAATGTTAAGCATAAGAAATAAACTGACATTTGTAATAGGTGACTTTCTGATGGAAAGCAAGCTATATATATATATATATATATATATATATATATATATATACTTTTTGTGAAATGTCTATATACTTTTTAAGGTAATTAATGAAGATTTCAGTTATTGCTTTTAAGCATAAAGTTGTATTTAGCTTCTGCTGAAAAATTGTATCATATAATAATTTTGCTTCATTGAAAAGGGATGTTGCAGTGATGAAACAAGGTGGGATCAGTTTGATTTTGTTTACTTATTAAGGAGTTTATCTTGGGCTCAGTTTGTGGTATTCAGTTCGTTTCTGCCCAAAGCTCTTATTTTCAGAGGTGTTACTTTTGAACTTTTGGGGTCATTTTTAAAAGTTAGCACTTTTGAATTTTAGTTGTGTTAAATATGTGCTGTCGTATATCATAGCCATGAGCCATATATGACAATTTAAATTTAATTAATTATAAACTCAGTCTCTTGGTTGCACCAGCCACATTTCAGATGCTCAATAGCCACATGTGGCTAGTGGGTACCATATTGGACAGGGCAGCTATAGAATATTTCCATCATTGCAGAAAGTTCTATTGGATAGTACCATAATCTTTTTATAGTAACTTGGAAATACTATTTGATATTAGATGTTAGACCACAAAAAGAAGAAAAATGTTAGGACTATTTCAGATATAAAAAGGAACTGAATTGTGACATAATTAGCATCTTACATTCCATACAGTTGAATACCTTATGCTGTGACAACCATAGTTAATCATTTCAGTGCTGTTCAACATACATACCTATCAGCAGTGTGTTTAGACCAGGGGTCTGCAAACTTTCTGTGAATGGACAAAGAGTAAATACTTTAGTAAATGTCTTAGGCTTTGTGGCCTACATGATCTTTGTTGCAAGTACTCAACTCTGCCATTATAGAGTTAAAGCAGCCATACACAATATATAAACAAAATGGGCATAGTTGTATTTCAGTAAAACTTTATTTACAAAGACAGGCGGTAGGCCAGATTTGGCTTGCATGCTGTAGAGCTGTGGTCTAAATTTTATTCATAGACTTTCTTTGCAAATACAGTGTGAGTATTGTTCCATTTACAGTATTATTATTTTTTAGATACCTGGTTTTTAGATTCTTGCCTGGTAACTTTTTACTGAAAATACAAGAATTTCGTACTGCATTTGCATCTCCGAGATTAGGGAGCACCTGTCAGGATATGTTGTTCTATCAGGGTTACTTCTGTTGACTACCTCTTAGATTTTGATACAGTTATATTGTTGAGTTTCATTTTCATATATTCTTGTAGTGTCTGCTTGCCTGTGACTTCTGGTAAAATAAAATAAGCCTTTGAAAATATTTTAGCATGGTATTTAACATTTTCTAAATATTATGGCATTTTGACATATTTTAGTCAGCGAAGACATCTGCCCCTTTGGTGTTTCTACTTGCTTATGATTGAGATTTTACAAGCCCTTCAAACTCCGTTTTAAAGGAATTTATTGTAAAACATTAACTTTAATAAATTAGTGTTTTCACAGATCAGATCATTATACTTGGAACTTCTAAATCATGCAATTTCTGAATAAGGACATAAGGCTAGATTCATTTTTCTTAATAGAGAAAAAGGAAATTTCTGATTTATCACTTTTCTAGTTGATAAGTAGGATTCAAAACGTTTGATATGTAAGTATTTATATAAGACTAATGTAATTTAAAGTTCTGTATTATTGTGATTAATCATACAGAAATTCAGGAACTGATCAGAAGTGAGATTCTTTTCCACATCTGGTTAATGTAGTGAGTTGACACCCTGTGGGTGGTAAAGCATTATAAACATTTCATCTTGAACCATGATTTATACACATCTGTGTTATAAGGGAGGCTTGAGTACATATACCAATGAAGAGATATTCAGCATTTGTCTATTTGATAAGGAATTAAATGTCCTAGTGATTATAAAGTAAAACCACAGACCAATTTGCAAATGATCTTCAATGTTAAGCACTTGCTCTAAGATTAAAATTCCTTTTCTTTTTAAGGTTAAGGGTGTGTACGTATGGCAGTGATGTCTATGTTGAGATTAACTTATGTATTGAGGAAAATTTGAAGTTTATTTTTTCGATGAATAAGGCTGTCAAATGATTTAGTATAGATTAATGACATCTTTTTTAGAAATATTAAAGTGAGTATTCCTCATTATGTCATCATTTCTGATAATTAGAGTGCTAATTTGAATGTTAGATAATGTTTCCACATCTATACCTATTTCTTTCTAGGGCACTTCTGACCCTGGGGCTTGGGGATGGCCTTTAGGCCACAGTAGTGTCTGTGTTAAGTTCACTAAATGTGTATTTAATGAGAAACATTCCTATGTAAAAATGTGTGTATGTGAACGTATGCATACATTTTTATTGTGCACCTGTACATTGTGAAGAAGTAGTTTGGAAATTTGTAAAGCACAAACCATAAAAGAGTGTGGAGTTATTAAATGATGTAGCACAAATGTAATGTTTAGCTTATAAAAGGTCCTTTCTATTTTCTATGGCAAAGACTTTGACACTTGAAAAATAAAACCAATATTTGATTTATTTTTGTAAGTATTTAGGATATTATTTTAAATAAATGATTGTCCATTATCAATATAATAGTTGTGAAATGATTTAAGTAAATAAACTTTATGCTTCTGTGTCTGTTGATTTTGATGGGTTTTTAGTGGGCATAAATGCATGTTTATTTGCTGCATTAAATAGAGGAGTGAAAATATGTAGGTTTGTAAAGAAAAAGTAATTGCATTCTTCTAATTTTGTTTTTCCTTTTAATTTTTTGGGGAATGAAAAGATATATTAAATGATTTGGGAATATGTCTTTTTATGTCTCCATTTTCACCTCTGGAACCTAGACATCTTGCATTAACACGGAATCAAAACATTTCTGGGGCCGGGCGTGGTGGCTATGCCTGTAATTCCAGCACTTTGGGAGGCCGAGGCAGGCAGGTCACTTGAGGTCAGGAGTTTGAGAACAGCCTTGCCAACACGGCAAAACCCCGTCTCTACTAAAAATACAAAAATTAGCCAGGTGCAGTGGCAGGCGCCTGTAGTCCCAGCTACTTGGGAGGCGGAGGCACAAGAGTCGCCTGAACCGGGAGGCAGAGGTTGCAGTGAGCTGAGATTGTGCCACTGCACTCCAGCCTGGGTGATAGAGTAAGACTCTGTCTCAAAAAAAACAAGACATTCCTGGGTAATATAATTTTAGAGACTGCTATTTATCCCTGAATATCCATTCTACCCCTCTTAACTTTAGTGATGGAATCCCATATTTTAGCTTGTTACATTATTATCCAGGAAAAAAAGAGAAAACCAAAACTGTGCTTCCCAGATTCCAATATAACTAGGTGGGGTACAGCTTTGTTCTAGATATCTAGCTTGAATGTACGCAATTCACATTCTTCTGAAGTTCCAGGGGATATGGAACTTTCAAGCTTCTCTCATTGTCTTTGGCTTTTGACAGCTTGACTATCAAAAAGATGATGAGTTGTGGATCTAGGTGTTGACTTCTTCAAATTTATTCTATTTGCAGTTTGTTGAGTTTGGATCTGCAGACTAATGCTTTTCATTAAACTTGGGAAATTTTTGACTATTATTTCTTGAAACATACTTTCTTCCTCTTTCTATCCTTTTCTCTGGTACTCTCATTATGCACCCGTTTTTACTTGGTGTCCCACATGTCTCCAAGGCTCTGCCCATTTTTCTTCATTCTCTCTTGATTCTGCTCCTCAGAATAGATCATCTCATTGATTTATCTTCAAGTGTATTGGTTCTTCCTCTGCCAGCTCAAATGTGCTGCTGAGTTCCTCTAGTGAATTTTTTGTTTCAGTTATTGTACTTTTCAAATCTAGAATTTCTAGTTAGTTGCTGTTTTCTATTTCTGACTCCTTATTGTGATTTTCTGTTCAGTGGAAAATCATTTTCATATTTAACTTAATTCTTTATCCAATAATTAATTCTTAGGCTCATAGAACATACTTAAAGCTTTTGTCTAGTAAATCCAATGCCTGGGCTTCTTCAGGGACTGTTTCCAGTAACTTCTTTTTATCCTGTCTATGAGCCATTGTTTTCTGTTTCTTCACATGATTCATAATTTTTTATTGGAAATTTGGCATTATAAGTAATATGTGGAAACTCTGGAAATCAGACCCCGCCCCACAGTGTATTATTGTTACTGTTATTGCCTTTTGTTTAGAGACTTGAACTAATTCTGTAAAAATTCCATTCTTCATCATGTGCAGCCACTGAATTCTGTGCTTTTTAAGCAAAGTATCCAGCTAATTTTGGACAGCGATTTCCTTGAATGTTTTGAAATAAGTCTCTCAGCCTTTCCCAAAGGGCTCTGCGTGTGTTTTGCATTATACCTTCAACACTCCAGCAGGTAGTTTACAGTTCTATTGTAACCTTAGTTTCTTGCTTACACAGACCCTCACAGTCAGCCAGAGATGAGAGATTCGAGTCTTTCCAGGTCTTTGCCTGGGTATGCATGTAGCCCTCACATGTGCATGGTCTTCTAGATTCCTAGGCATATGTTAGAGTGTTAGAAGCCCCGGTGGGCATCTCTATTTCCAGTTTATCCTTTTAATCCTCTGTTTTAATTCCAACTTGTATTGCTACCTTGGGTTACTGTAATGTTGCACAATTGTCACTGATTTTTTTTTTTTAACAAATGTCCTGTAGTGTGGTTTGCACAGAATCAGCGTTTAGTAAGGTAAAACAAAGACAAGTTCTGAGAATGGGGCTTTTCAGGGAACTGCCAGAGAGGTCATATAATGACAACTTTCTGGGAATGGGGCCTTTGGGGTGCTCCAAACCCATTCTGCTCCCTCCAGTGGCTGCTTGATCACGGGTATTCACAGCTACCATAATTGTGAGACTGTTGCTTTTAAGGATACTTGAGAGCTGGGGAGAGGAGAACCGGCATAGGGCAAGTTAAAACAGAGCTCCCTGTTTTTACTGAGAGCAGCTCTTCTTTTTTTAAACAAATGCTCAGGTTGTTTTGAGACTTTAATTTTCAGCATTCTGAAAATGTTGATTTTGATTATTTTTGCTCACGTTCTCAGTGCTTTTATGGAATGGATTTTTGGAGCTCCTTAAGTTACCATTTCAGAAGTTCTCGCCACAAGTCAGATTTTTGAAAGTAGGAGTGACCTCAGTAACCAGTATTTAAAGCCCACCTTTTCCAGAATGTGAAATTAAGAAATATAGAGGTTCATGGCTTGCTGCATGGCTACGGAAAATTTATGGCACACTGCAGCATTAATGTCACTTGGCTGCTTGCTCTCCCCTACCCCTCACCTCCACTGTGTGTCCAACAAACATTTCCTGAGCATCTGCTATGCATGAAACAGGTACTGAATGTGTGTGAACAAGACACAGTCACCTCTGAAAAGCTCATTTTAATTGGGAGATTATATGGAAATAGGAAATAAAACCTTTTAAATTAAATTCTCAGGGAATGGAGGAAGGAGCAACTAACCAAGAGTCAAGAAAAATGTCACTGGAGAGCTAACGTTTAGGCTGGCCTTTACAGGATGAATAGGAGTCTGCCAGGTATAATTAAACATTTCTTGCAGAAAAACTAGCTTCTGTAAAGACATGATGAAGGATCTGGCCTATTTAGGGAAGTAATAGTTCAGTACTTTGGCAGGAGAAGTACTAAGAGATGTAATTCAAAAGGTGAATAGATTTCACATCATAAAAATTACCATATGTCCACCTAAGGAGCATGCCCTTACATATGGCTATGCAGGCCCTACATCAGGGGTGTCCAATCTTTTCAATCTTTTGACTTCCCCAGGCCATGTTGGAAGAAGAAAAATTGTCTTTGGCCACACATAAAATACACTAATACTAACAACGATAGCTGATGAGCTAAAAAAAAAAAAAAAAAAAAAAAAAAAGAAAGAAAGAAAGAAAGAATCTCATGTTTCAAGAAAGTTGTCTAATTTGTGTTGGGCCGCATTCAAAGCCATCCTGGGCCGCTTGTGGACAAACTTACTCTACGTGATCCAACGCCAGAGGGCACCATTCACCTAGACTACAAGTGAATGGCAGCCTGGGGTTTTACAACATAGCAGCCATACTGAAGAATCTGTAATTTATCCTGTAGTCAGCAGGGAGAATATCTTGTTTTGTGGACACAGTGAGGAAAAGATCAAATTGCCTGGGGAAAAAAAAGGTCTAGAAATAAGTTCTCCAAATTGTATAATAGCATAACTGGATGCTTCTCTGAAATAACCATACAGCATTACTACTGTAATTGATGATTATCATGTCACTTTGATCTCATGTTTTCACAAGAAATACAATGCAGGTGTATCTGACAGCATAGGGTAAGTTATGCTGTAGTAATTTTGAAATTTTAGTTTAGTTTATAACAAAATAGGTTTATTTCTGACATCATACGTTCATCTTGAATAAGCTGTGACTCTGCTTCCTGTCTTTGTCACACTGGACAGACTCTTATCTAGAACACTGGTGGTCTCATGGCAGAGAGGAAACATGTTGCAATACTAGCCAGCTTTCAAGCACTTAGAAGTGGCTCGTGGAACTTTTGCTCTCATTTTATTGATCAAAGCCAATCACACGGCCATTCCTGAATTCATGAAGGTGGTTATACATAATCATCCCACAGGAAGGAGCACCACAAGGAGAGGCACCTCAGAGGGGGACAGTGGACTTTTGACCAGTTATATATTCCACCTCAGCAGGTGTTATTCTATTTTTCAGATTAGGAAATGATTTCAGGAAAGTAAAGTAACCTGTTTAATTCACAAGCAAAAGGTAATAAATGGTAAAAACCAGGAATGGAATTCAGGCCAGCTTAGCTACAAAGATCCGACCTCTAGTTCATCTGACTCCCAGTGCTACCCCGCTGAGTCTTTTAATGTTGTTTTGTGTGCATCAGAGCCCTGTGATGTCTTTGGACTTCAGATTATTTTGGCAAAGAGAAGCCTCTGTTCTGACCCTAATTGTTATAACCAACACCATCAATGACAGAGCCAGTCTCTGAAAGTGACCCTTTGCATTTGACCCTTTCTTCTTGCTTAGCTTAATTCCTTGTCTGTTTCAAAAGAAGAAAAGGTTCTTAGCTTTCCAGAGCAGAACAAATAGCTCATGGTGAATACACAAAAACTGTGTGACCCAGAAAGTACAAAATCTTCATCCAGGGCATCAGCCTGTTGTTGAGAAACAAGCGTGGGGAAATGGGCTAGGTGGCACCACTCCAGAAAGCCAGCTGGGACTGAAAGAGTGAGGTAAGACAGGAGCCTGTGCTCCTCCACTGCATTTCTGAAGGATTGTAATAGAAGTTAGCATGAGGGCTGTGAAATAGGTCATGGGGTGAGATGACAAGGACAGAGGGGTAGTGGCGGAGATCTGACTTCTGGTGATAGGTCCCACCTAACACCAACCCACAATGAATCCACTGATTTTGTTCATTAATTCACTATTAAACACTACCATGTTGCAGGCACTGTTCTTAATACTGTGGACTCAGAATTGAACAAGACAGATACTGCTCTTGCCCTCAGGGAGTGTAGTGTATTAGTTAACTATTGCTGTGTGAAAATGCACCTCAAACCTGAGTGGCTTAAAACAGTAACCATTTATTTAACTCACAAATCTCAGGTTGGAAATTTAGGCTGGCTCAGGCAGTTCTTGTCTGGGCTCACTCATGCAAGTGCATTCAACTTCCAAATTTGCTTGGATCCAACTCATCTCAAGTCCTTATGCACAGCTCTGGAGGCTGGCCAGCTATCAGCTAGGGCAATGTGATGGCAATGATGAAGCCACATGTTTCTTATCCTGCAGCAGAGTAAGGTGGACTTGTTTAAATGGTGGCAGGAGGGTCCCAGAAGAGCACGCAGAAGCACACACAGTCTCTTCAGCCCTGGGGTCAGCCAGGAAAGTCATTTCACCACCAGGCCAGCCCCAAGTAAAGGAGACTGTGAGTAGATGCTAGCTCGTGAGGAGAGAAGTTGTAAAGTCACATTTCAAGGGTTGTAGACACAATGAAGGGAGTTATTGTAGCCTCTTTTTACAGATATATATAACTCTCAGCCAGACTTAAGTTCCATGAAAAACACAACAGAGTGGAGAGACTTCTGTTTCATGCTGTGACAGTTAACTGGACTGGACTAGCCCTTCTACCACAAGAAAGACCAGAGAAGTGGACAAGGTAAATAAACTTTTCCAGATATTGGAAAGCTGAAAATGCAGAACTGTTTCCCAACAGAGAGGACCAAATGAAGTGAGCTCTACAATATCTGGCTTTCTCCCTGGAGCGATTTACTAGACTCCATTTCAAGAATCAGGGAAACAATCAGAACACAGTAATCTTGGTAAGATGAGAAAATAAATTGGACCTTAGGGTGACTGACATGGCTAGAATTTGTAGAATAGAGAAAGGTGGAAGCAACAGCAAGAAAGAGCTCCAGAAATCTTGAAAGAGATCAGCTGAATACCAACCTCTGCGGGTGTAGAGCGAGACTCCATGAGGTTGGGCAAAGGACATCTACTAGAGAGAAAACACCTACCAGAGAGCTATAAGCTTAATGATTGCCATAGCTTTTTAAAAATTATTTTTTATTATGTTACTTTAAGGTCTGGGATACATGTGCAGAACATGCAGGTTTGTTACATAGGTGTACATGTGCCATGGTGGTTTGCTGCACCTATCAACCAGTCATCTAGGTTTTAAGCCCTGCATGCATTAGGTATTTGTCCTAATCCTCTCCCTCCCCTTGCCCTGCAACCCCCGACAGGCCTCAGTGTGTGATGTTCCTCTCTCTGTGTCCATGTGTTCTCATTGTTCAACTCCCACTTATGAGTGAGAACATGCAGTGTTTGGTTTTCTGTTCCTGTGTTAGTTTGCTGAAAATGATGGTTTCCAGCTTCATCCGTGTCCCTGCAAAGGACATGAACTCATTCTATTTTATGGCTGTATAGTATTCCATGGTGTACATGTGCCACATTTTCTTTATCCAGTCTGTCATTGATGGGCATTTGGGTTGGTTCCAAGTCTTTGCTATTGTAAATAGTGCTGCAGTAAACACACATGTGCATGTGTCTTTATAGTAGAATGATTTATAATCCTTTGGGTATTTACCTAGGAATGGGATTGCTGGGTCAAGTGGTATTTCTGGCTCTAGATCCTTGAGGAATCACCACACTGTCTTCCACAATGGTACTAATTTACACTCCCATGAACAGTGTAAAAGCGTTCCTATTTCTCCACATCCTCACCAGCATCTGTTGTTTCCTGACTTTTTAATGATCATCATTCTAACTGGTGTGAGATAGTATCTCATTGTGGTTTTGATTTGCATTCCTCTAATGATCAGAGATGATGAGCGTTTTTTCATATGTTTGTTGGCCGCATAAATGTCTTCTTTTGAGAAGTGTCTGTTCATATTCTTCACCCATTTTTGATGGGGTTGTTTTTTTATTTTACACGTTGTACAAAAATTAACTCAAGATGAGTTAAAGACTTAAATGTAAAACCTGAAACCATAAAAACCCTAGAAGAAAACCTAGGCAATACCATTCAGGACATAGGCATGGGCAAAGACTTCATGACTAAAACACCAAAAGGAATTGCAACAAAAGCCAAAATTGACAAATAGGATCTAATTAAACTAAAGAGCTTCTGCACAGCAAAAGAAACTATCATCAGAATGAAAAGGCAACCTATAGAATGGGAGAAAATTTTTACAATCTATCCATCTGACAAAGCTCTAATATCCAGAATCTACAAGGAACTTAAACAAATTTATAAGATTACCATAGCTTTTACAGGGCTGGAATTAGCTATATTCATTGAGAGTGGATATAACTCATTGAATATCTCAGGCAGTCAGTAGAGACTGCGAAAAAATCACTCTTTAGGAGCCCTGGAATGGAGGCTACTTTAAATCTACTCTAACAAAGCTTTAAAATGAGCTTCAAAAGGATTAAGGTGTCCTACAAGTAAATTAACTGCCTATTAAAATAAAACTTAATACTCTGTAAAGGAAGACAATGAAAACACTCAACAATGAAAAACTTACATAATAATTACTAGACATAAAGAAGTGGAAATATGTGACCTGTAACAAGGAGAAAAACTCAGTTAAGAGACACAGACAAAAACAACAGACAGGGACTTTTAAATGAATAGTATAAGTATATTCAAAGATCTAAAGAAAAATAACAGAGAAATAGAAACTATTTTTAAAAAGATGCATTGATACTTCTAGAAAAATAAAATATATGAAATAAAAAAAATTAATGGGTGGGCTTAATGACAAACTCAACACTGCAGAGGAAACTAAGAGTGAACTCAGTTGAACTTCTTAAAGACAGAAACTTGAACAGAAACTATCCAAACTAAAGCATAGAGAGAAGAAACGCTGAAAAATATTAACAGAACCTCAGTGGCCAGTAATTCAACATCAAGGGGGCCGCATATGTATGACTGAAATCCCAGAAATATGGGAGCAGGGAGTGGGTTAAGAAAAAGAAGTATTTAAGGAAATAATGGCCACAATTTATCCAAATTTTCTAAAAACAATAAACTCATAAATACAAGAAGCTTAATAAAGATAAACACCAAGTAAACGATACCAAGATACATTATTACCAAATTGCTGACAAGTAATGATAAAGAAAAGAATCTTAAAAACAGCTGTAAGACAAAAGACTCCTAATAAATAGTGGAACAAGGATGTGAGTGATTGTGGCCCTTTCATCAGAAGCAACATAAGCCAGGAAACAATGAAATGACATCTTCAAAGTTCTATAAGAAAAAAACCCTGTTAATTTATAGTTCTATATATGGTGAAATTTTTATTCAAAAATGAAGGCAAATTAAGACATTCTGTGATGGAAGAAAAAGAGAGGAGAAGGGAGAAAACCTGGGGAGAATTCAAGGCACAATATATGGTGGTGGTTTTCAAGAATAAGTGAGATGGAGAGGAGTCAGCCTGGGGGACTTCGTCAACATATATCCTTCCCCCAAAGATGGTTATGCAGTGATGGCAGTGGTGAAAAATGATGTTGTGAAGCCATGTGTATTTCAGAAATGTTTCCTTTGGTTTTCATAACCCAGTGGGGACCACTAATGTCAGTTGATTTTTACGTTTATAATCCCCCATTTCTCACTTTCATCAGCACTGGAATGAGCTCTGAGAAGGGATGGTTCTGTATCTCCCTTCGTTAACCACTATCTGATTCGTAGTATGTGCTCAGTAAGTGTTTGTTGAATTGACTTAAAAAGACTATTAATGCGAGGCTTGGTACCAAAAGCACAGCTCCATTTTCTCTTTCCAAGTAGAAGAAGAAATTCATAAGGTTTGGTTTTTCCACAGTTAGGGAGATACCACCAGCATATGGGGGTACTGAGGAAAGCAATGCAATTTTACCAAGTGAGAAAACATTATTAGCTATATTATAGGATACTCTCATACATTCAAAGCTAATCAGAATAAAAGGAAGGAGCATCTTCCACTGCAGATGTACTTGGAACTGTACTTTCAGATAGTTAATGGCAGAAACACCCATGTATATGTGTGATAGAGTAAAAATAAAAACGTGGCAAGGAATCCTTCATAGTGAGTGTCACAGCCCAGCAAAGCAGGATCCAGTGTTTGCCACATTTATAGCCCTGTCCTCTTCTTGCTGTTCACAGCACTGACCCTGAGCCACAGCAAGATCCTGAGGTGTCCTGTGAGTCGTGTATCCACTCCTTCATTCAACACAGAAAGAGAAATATCACTCATTAGGGTCTCACTGTGGGCTGGATATTATATTTGTAACAGGATATCCAAATGGGGTTCTTCATCTCTCAGTTTCACATGGAGTCCCAGTTACTGCAAATAGCACATGCCAAGTGCTATTAAACCCACAGCTGTAAAGTAGGGCACTTGAAATCCTATGTGAGACTTGCCACAGGGGCCTCAGATAACTGTTTTTGTCACCCTTACAGCCCATTGCCTACATTGAGGACTAATGGAAGAGGCAGAGAGGCTTCTGTGGTGAGGAGTGACAAAGACTCAGCTCCTCTAAACCCTCTAGGCATTGACCTTGGCATCGGTCCATGTTGGGCCTAATGGCCCAGTTGCAGCATGTCAGTTTAGAGGCGACCCCTGACCCCTCGATATCTGATCCAAATATTCATCCCCCACCCTTGGTACCTGATCACTCGGGTTTGCCTTCAGCAAGAATCCTGTCCAGTGGATTTAGCCAGAATCTGTCCTTACCCCACAAATTTCCTCTTAGGTTTTCCATCCCCAACCCAGCTTCTTGGCTATAAATACCCACTTGTCATCCATACTGTATTTGGAATTGAGCCCAGTTCTATACTGAAATCTCCTTTCCCCTATTGCAATAGTTCCTGACTAAAATTTGTTTTTACTGCTTTAAATGCAGTTCAGCTCTGGTTTTCATTGACAGGCAGATCCTCTTGACCTCCCACCCGTCTCCCACAAAGCAGGAGAGGTACATGGTTTCCCCTCACCAGCTGAGAGGCTTCAAGCCAAAAGGGAGTTACCTGTGCTCTATATTTCTCTGGGGAGGCAAGAATCAGTGGCACACAGACGCCTGAAAATTCCTCTAGGCAAGAGGTTGGGTGAGGCTCCAGTGGTAGCTAAGGAGTGGGGGCTCTGTTGGAGGAGACTGCAGTGCTTCTCACACGGAGACAAGGGTGTGGGACTCCATGTGGGCCCTGTGGCACAGCCAGCGTGGGGTTGTCTTGGATCGCAACAAGAGGAGTCCTGGAGGGATAACGTATCCTGAAGAGGAGCTGCACTGGCAGATGCCCCAGAGTGGGAGAGCAACGTTAAGCTAAGGAAAAACCACTGTCCACGTCAAAGGCGCTGCACATGAAGGGCCCTGGTAGGATGGGGTGGGTGGTGGGTGAGGTAGGAATGCCCATGAAGGAGGGAGCACTGGACCAGAGAGAAGGGCTGGGGAACCCCTGCCCACCCAGCCTGGAAAACTTCCAGTTCTAAAACTGAGTTGAAGGAAGCTAAATCAGTGAACATATGGAGTTATGTGTTGCGGGAAGTCAGGGACCCCGAATGGAGGGACCGGCTGAAGCCATGGCAGAAGAACATAAATTGTGAAGATTTCATGGACACTTTATTACTTCCCCAATCAATACCCTTGTGATTTCCTATGCCTGTCTTTACTTTAATCTCTTAATCCCATCATCTTCATAAGCTGAGGAGGATGTATGTCACCTCAGGACCTTGTGATGATTGCGTTAACTGCACAAATTGTTTGTAAAGCATGTGTGTTTGAACAATATGAAATCTGGGCACCTTGAAAAAAGAACAGGATAACAGCAATGTTCAGGAAACAAGAGAGATAACCTTAAATTCTGATCACCGGTGAGCCGGGCGGAACAGAGCCATATTTCTCTTCTTTCAAAAGCAAATGGGAGAAATATCACTGAATTCTTTTTCTCAGCAAGGAACATCCCTGAGAAAGAGAATACACCCCTGAGGGTAGGCCTTTAAAATGGCCGCTTCAGGGGGCAGCCATCTTTTATGGTTGGGCTGTAGGGATGAAATAAGCCCCAGTCTCCTGTAGCACTCCCAGGCTTATTAGGACAAGGAAATTCCTGCCTAATAAATTTTTGGTCAGACCAGTTCTCTGCTCTCAAACCCTGTCTCCTGATAAGATGTTATCAATGACAATGCGTGCCCGAAACTTCCTTAGCAATCTTAATTTCGCCCCAGTCCTGTGGTCCTGTGATCTCGCTCTGCCTCCATTTGCCTTGTGATATTCTATTACCTTGTGAAGCACGTGATCTCTGTGACCCACACCCTATTCGTACACTCCCTCCCCTTTTGAAATCACTAATAAAAACTTGCTGGTTTTGTGGCTTGTGGGGCATCACGGAACCTGCCGACATGTGATGTCTCCCCCGGACACCCAGCTTTAAAATTTCTCTCTTTTGTACTCTGTCCCTTTATTTCTCAGACTGGCAGACACTTAAGGAAAATAGAAAAGAACCTACGTGAAATATCGGGGGTGAATTTCGCCCAATATCTGGCTGAATTTCCCCCAATAGTTATATAAATTGTATATTTATTGGACTGCAAATTGTAAGGACCAAAATGACACATGAAGGAGTGTGAGGACATGGACGTTTGTCATATCAGAAATGTAATGAGACTTGCCTGAAATTTGATTCAGAGGCAAAACAGACATAGTTTACAGACTGTGGTGGCAGGGTGGGGTAGAAATAAAGCCACTTTTGTCTTGCACTCTAATGAGCCTTATTCCTCTTCATTCTGTTACACAGACAAAATTTCATGTTTTCATATTTACCCTTATTACCACGTAGTGAGGTACTGTTTTAGAGGAAGAAATTGGAGGCTTGAAGGTTTAAATATCTTGCTCAAAGTCACAGTAAGGGGCTGTGGAGTGACAAATCAGGATAACCCTGCACACTCATACCTAATACCCTATCTCTTTCCTTTTGATGGCTTAGAAAAAACTTGGCTCAGCAGGCTTGATTGAGCTCAAGGGATGTACAGCTTGACACTAGGGGTGTCCAAAGTTTCCCCATTCTAACAAAGCCGCTTCTTCACCCAGGAAGCTGTCCTTGCTACTTAGTCACCTAGTCAGCCCTGCCTCCTGTCTATAAATATGTAGGGCACTGTATTAGTCCATTTTCATGCTGCTGATAAAGACATTCCTAGGAATGTGCAATTTACAAAAAGAAAGAAGTTTAATGGACTCACAGTTCCAAGTGGCTGGGGAGGTCTCACAATCATGGCAGAAGGCGAAAGGCACATCTCACATGGCGGCAGACAAGAGAAGAGAGCTTGTGCAGGGAAACTCCCCTTTATGAAATAATCAGATCTTGTGAGAACTCACTATCAAAAGAATAGCACAGGAAAGACCCACCCCCATAATTCAATTGTCTCACACTCGGCCGCTCCCACAACACGTAGAAATTGTGGGAGCTACTATTCAAGATGAGATTTGGGTGGGGACACAGCCAAACCATATCATTCTGCCCCAGCCCCTCCAAAATCTCACATCCTCACATTTCAAAACCAATCATGCCTTCCCAACAGTCCTTCAAAGTCTTAACTCATTTCAGCATTAACTCAAAAGTCCACAGTCCAAAGTCTCATTTAAGACAAGGCAAGTCCCTTCTGCCTATGAGCCTGTAAAATGAAAAGCAAGTTAGTTACTTCCTAGGTACAATGCAGGTACAGGCACGGAGTAAATACCGATGTTCCAAATGGGAGAAATTGGCCAAAACAAAGTGGCTATAAGCCCCACGCCAGTCCAAAGTCCAGCAGAGCAGTCAAATCTTAAAGCTACAAAATGATCTCCCTTGACTCCATGTCTTACATCCAGGTCATACTAATGCAAGAGGTGGGTTCCCATGGTCTTGGGCAGCTCCACCCCTGTGGCTTTGCAGGGAATAGCTTCCTTCTTGGCTGCTTTCACAGGTTGGCATTGAGTGCCTGCAGCTTTTCCAGGCACACGGTGCAAGCTGTCAGTGGATCTACCATTCTGGGGTCTGGAGGACAGTGGCCCTCTTCTCACAGATCCACTAGCCAGTGCCCCAGTGGAGATTCTCTGTGGGGGCTTCAACCCCACATTGCTCTTCCACACTGCCCTGGCAGAGGTTCTCCATGAGCACTCCACTTTTGCAGCAAACTTCTGCCTGGGCATCCAGGTATTTCCATACATCCTGTGAAATCTAGGCAGAGGTTCCCAAACCTCAGTTCTTGACTTCTGTGCACCCACAGGCTCAACTCCATGTGGAAGCTGTGAAGATTTGGGGCTTGCACCCTCTGAAGCCATGGCCTGAGCTGTACCTTGACCCCTTTCAGTCATGGCTGGAGCAGCTGGAATTCAGGGCACCAAGTCCCTAGGCTGCACATAGCAGAGGTACCCTGGGCCCAGCCCAGGAAACCATCTTTTCTTCCTATGCCTCCAGGCCTGTGATGGGAGGGACTGCTGTGAAGACCTCTGACAGTCCCTAGAGACATTTTCCCCATTGTCAGCTCCTTGTTACTTATGCAAATTTCTGCAGTCAATTGAATTTCTCCTCAGAAAATGGGATTTTCATTTCTGTCACATTGTCAGACTGGAAATTTTCCAAACTTTTATGCTCTGCTTCCCTTATAAAACTGAATGCCTGTAACAGCACTCAAGTTACATCTTGAATGCTTTGCTGCTTAGAAATTTCTTCCGCCAGATATCCTAAATCATCTCTCTCAAGTTCAAAGTTCCACGAATCTCTATGGCAGGGGCAAAATGCTGCCAGTCTCGTTGCTAAAACATAACAAGAGTCACCTTTTCTCCAGTTCCAAACAAGTTCCTCATCTCCATCTGAGACCACCTCAGCCTGGAATTCATTGTCCATATCATTATCAGCACTTTGGTCAAAGCCATTCAACAAGTCTCTAGAAGGTTTCAAACTGTCCCACATTTTCCTGTCTTCTGAGCCCTCCAAAATGTTTCCACATCTGCCTGTTACCTAGTTCGAAATTTACTTCCACATTTTTGGGTATTTTTTCAGCAGCACCCCACTCTACTGGTAGCAATTTACTGTATTAATCCATTTTCATACTGCTGACAAAGACATTCCTGAGAATGGGCAATTTACAAAAGAAGAGGTTTCATGGACTCACACAGTTCTAAGGGGCTGGGGAAGCCTCACAATTGTAGTGGAAGGTGAAAGGCACATCTCATATGGCAGCAGGCAAGAGAAGAGAACTTGTGCAGGGAAACTCCCCTTTATAAACCCATCAGATCACCTGAGACTTATTCACTATCATGAGAGTAGCATGAGAAAGACCTGCCCCCATGATTCAATTACCTCCCACCAGGTCCCTCCCACAACACATAGGATTTGTGGGAGCTAAAATTCAAGATGAGATTTGGATGGGGACACAGCCAAACCATATCAGGCACTGTGAGGTCAGTCTCCCTCCTGGACCTCTCCTGGGTGCATGCAGCCCCACTATGCCTGACCCAGGAACACTTCCCTAACAACTCAGGGAATCCTGTGTGTCCTGCTCTTCCTCTGCTTTAAGCCCTTCAACCTCCAACCTGGTTTTAAATTTACACTGCAGCATGCATGTGTCTGCATCTCTTTGTAGGAGAGTAGTGGAGAGAAGATTCACAGCCTGAGTGCCTCTTGGTAAATCCATGCTTCCTCCACAATACCACAGATCATGTTATGTTGCTTGCACACCATATGTCATCAGACCCCCTGATACAAGAGAAGGGGGTCAGGGGCCCTGGAGCTTCCAAAATAGATGGGGGAAAAAGAGAATTACAAATGTGCATATAGAACAAAATCTTTGTGTGGGACAGGAAGTGCTTGGACAAAATGGGGGCTCATATTTTAGAGCCTCTCCATGGGCTTTGAGAAAAAAGATATTTTATATGGCCAGAAAATTCAGTTACTCACAGTCATCTATTCCCCAAGGTTTCTGGTTAATTGTGCTCACATCCTATTTGGCCCTGGGTTCCATTGCATTTATCAGGTCAGGATGAGTTCCCAGTGGTTTTACACTTATTCCCCCAAGTAACAGGTATGTACTGCCCATCTAGAATCACAGAAAATGCACAGCAGAGTAGAAATGGAACTCAGAGATGACTTCAACAAAGTCCTTCATTTTACAAATGAGGAAACTGAGACACATGATGTATTTTGGCCAGTGTCCATTTGAGTCTCCTACTTGGGTGATCTGATTGGGGAAAAATGGAAGTCCTGGATGTTTGAGAAGTTCAAGTTCAGGGCCTGATTTGATTGGTTTTATTCTCAGAATACCACATGGCCTGTTTTCTAGAGATGCAAATTTCTGGTGGGTTACCAAAAAAAAAAAAAAAAATGGGCATAGGTGGGGCTCTCACTTCTATTCTTTCTTTTACTAGGGAAGAAACAAAACCTCCTCCCACACATTAAAAACCCAACCATGCCTTCCAGACATACTCTTTTCTTGGCTCCCCAGCTAGATTAGCAGCAGTCAAACATTCCTCCCATCCTTTTCTGTTTCCCTTTCTCACAGCGTCAATTGAATTGGCTTTTCTCTGAATCCCAAACAGCAGGAAGAAAGAGCCCCGTGATTTCATGGCCCATTTTGTTTTAAGCTATTTAAATTATTTAGGTCTAACTGCTTTCTATGGTTTGGGTGTTTGTCCTCTCCAAAACTTATTTTGAAACTTGGTCCCCAATGTTGCAGTGTTGGAACATGGGGCCTAATGAAAGGTGATTGGGTTGTGAGGGCATGGCCCTCGTGAATGGATGGATGGCATTGTTATGGCAGTGGGTTCATTGTTGTGACAGTGGGCTGATATAAAGTGAGCCTGGCACCTCCTGCTTTCTGTCTTTTGCATGCACCTGCTTGTCCTTCTGCTTTTCTGCCATGTGATGACACAGTATGGAAGCCCTCACCAGAAGCTGCCACCATGCCCTTGGACATCCCAGCCTACAGAAATGTGAGACAAATAAACTCCTTTTCTTTATAAATACCCAGTCTCAGGTATTCTATTACAGCAACAGAAAACAGACTAAGACACCACCTTAGGAAAAAGGATCTTTTTATAAGGCTTAGCCCAGGTTCCCTGGGAGTTCATTTGTTTGCATTGGTATTGGGGTCAAAACTTCGTGTACTATCAGTGTTACCTGGCCTTCTATTTCATAATCCTTATCTTCCTTCAGCAGCCACACCTAGAGTGAGTGAGCAGGATTTTGGCATTTCTGTTTTCCTGCTATAAAATACCAAGGTCGGCCAGGCACAGTGGCTCATGCCTGTAATCCCAGCACTTATGGAGGCCGAGGTGGGTGGATCACCTGAGTCTGGAGTTCTAGACCAGCCTGGCCAAAATGGTGAAACCCCATCTCTACTAAAAATACAAAAATTAGCGAGGTATGGTGGCATGTGCCTATAATCCCAGCTACTAGGGAAGCTGAGGCAGGTGAATCACTGGAACCCAGGAAGTGGATCACACCACTGCACTCCAGCCTGGGCAACGGAGCAAGACACTACCTCAAAAAAAAAAAACAAAAAAACAAAAAAAAAAAACAAAAAACAGGGCCCAGGGAGTTTAGGCTGGTAATAGCCACAAAAAGCTTACAGTCTAGTTGCAAGAAAAGATCACACCCACCATCGTTAAAGCCAGTGTGAAACAACATGGGAATAAGTGTCTGATGGAGGATTAAAGGCAAGAAGGTATTGTTAAGGATGAAAAATATTTCCACATTTGTTCCTGAAACCTGTTTCCCAGGTTGGTTAATTGTGGTCACATTCCACTTGGCCTTAGGTGTGTGCTTATGTAAACTACAGAAACTGTTTCAATGACACCTGCTTTCCCTGTCTCTAAATGAGGAATAAAACCTGCCCTGCTGACTTCTCAGAGGATCAGTCTGAGACAGAAACAAGATAACGCATGCACAGTGCTACCAAACTGGGGAGTCTTCATAGCTCACTTCTGTGGCTGCTCCTAGGGCCCACTTTTAACTCTTATCAACTATTTTGCACCACTTTGACTTGAGCTTCTCAACAGGTCAGAAGCAAACACATATCTCACAAAGGAAGCAGGAAGGAGGCACACTATAGATAGAACTTTTATGATGTGTTTTATGGTTTACAAACCACTTAAAGCTCACCATTTCTTTTGATTCTTACAAGAACTTTCTTTATGGAAGGAAACATTATCCTCTTTTCATCTCCTAGATAAAAAGGTAAATTATTTAGCATATAAATGATTTTCCCAAGGCTAATTCGGACGAGACAGTAGAGCTGGGATTTGGATCTAGTTTTCTCTGAGTCAAATTCCTCTGATCTTTCTTGAAAGTCACTTTCATTTTGTCCCAACACATCTGAGCAGACACCAGTGGTTTCAGAACACGTGCCATGTCTTCTTACTTTCCTTGCCCCTTTCTTTCTTAACAATATTACACCTGAGGAACAGCGCAGAGGCGGTGACTGACTGGGGAAATGGTGATACCCATTCTAAACTTCAGGCTCAGCTTCTCATTGTTTGGGGGCCTGAAGGTAAATTTTTGCATAAGGGAAGTGAAGAAAATAAACAGCTCAGTCCTGGCCAACTGTTCTCCGAGGCATGCCCGCTTTCCTGTAAGACAAAATCAAAAGACGGGTTATCTTCTCAGGTGGCATTTGTGCCTAGCAGAGATTGCTATCCTCAATCATATCCCCAAAAAAATGGAGCAGAGGAAGGGCCTGTAGGCCCCAGGGTGTTATGGCCAGCAGCTTATTTAAGTCTGATAACCACTTGGGTTCATCAATGCATAGAAAGCAGAAGTCCAGGAACACGAAGTCAAATGCCATCAGGGGTCCGGCAGGCGAGCTTCCAGAATGAAGTTGCAGGGTGTAGGACCATAGAAGCGGAAGGCGTGGGCTGAGCTAGAAAGGGGATGTTTAGCCTAAGAGCTTTAAAAAAATCATTTAACAAACGTGACAAAAAAAGACAACAAAAACAACCAAATATGTTCACTTTTTTAATCCTTAAAAAAATTGTTGAAAATATAAGGAAATAAATGTCAGAGCAGAGTTCCTAAGGTATAAGTCATCTTTTCCCTGTGCCACTTTTCCTCCTTAATCATGGGGGACCTACTGGCATGGGTGGCCCTCTGTATTGCGACTGCTTTGGCCTTCCTCCTTCAGTGGTTCTTCTTATGCACAGTGGCCCTTTCCCTTTGCAGGCATTTCTTCTGAAGTGTGGCCCAAGGCTGGGTCCTGGTCTCCACAGCTGACACCTAGCATTGCCCTGACCTTGTCCCACTCCCTGTTATGTGTGGGTGAACTGAAGGCAGAAGGGCAGAGATTCAATTCAGCTTCTCCCACCTCCTAACCACGTGATTGGGGCAAATTAAACAACCTCTCTAGGAATCAGTGAAAATGTACATTGTGCATATTAGTGAAAACGAATATGTGTTTAAGATGAGAACTTTATATATTGTGTGAGCTACATGCTGAATCCAAATAAGCTAAATAATTTAATAATTTATACCTCAAAACAAAGTATTTTAAAATGTCACCTAGGTAATAATAAACATAACTGTACAATTGCTTATTATTAACTTGATCTGGTTAATTCTCAAAAAACAGGAGAATACAATTTAAAAGATGACCTCTAAAGAAAATCTTTTGGGTGGTAGCATTACTCAAACAGCTTTCTGTATATTACAATTCTTTACTGTGATACTTTCCATAACAAGCCTTTTATTCTGAAATAATTTCAAATGTACAAAAAACTTGCAGAGATAGACAAAGAACTTGGCTCTTCTAAGTTGTTTGGAAGTAAATTGTCTACATTACCCATGAAATCTTCAGTATGTATTTTCTAAAAAGAAAGACATTCTCCAACATAGTCAAAATGCAACCATCCAAGCCAGGAAATTAACACTGATGCATGACCAACATCTTCCCGAGGTCCCATTCAGGGTTACCAGTTGTCCCAAAGTCCTTCATTAGAAAAGGGTCCAGTACAGCCAGTACATGATCATGGATTGCATTTAGCTGTCATGTCGCCTTAGTTCTTCAGTCTGGAATAAGTCCTCACTCTTTATACAACTTTCACGGCTTTGGCCTTTTTAAAGATTACAGACCAGTTGTTTTGTAAATGCCTCTCATGCTTCCTCATGATTGGATTCAGGCTGTGGAGTTTTCCATTTTGGGTAGGAATATCACCAAAGTGATACTGTATTCTTCTCATTTTATACTATCAAGTGCTATACAATTGTGATGTGTTACATTATTGGTAATCACTTGATTAAGGTGGTGTCTACCAAGTTCTCTTGTAAAATTATTCTTTTTCTCTGTAACTAATAAGTACTTTGAGACTATGTCAACAAACCATTCTCATTAAGCTGTGATCCATTCTTTTCCATTGCTATTTCTTGACCATATATATTTTTTTGATTTATTTTTATTTTTATTTATTATTATTATACTTTAAGTTTTAGGGTACATGTGCACAATGTGCAGGTTAGTTACATATGTATACATGTGCCATGCTGGTGCGCTGCACCCACTAACTCGTCATCTAGCATTAGGTATATCTCTTGACCATATTATTAATTGCTGATGGCTACCAAATCGCGATTTTTAAAATTCTGTCATTTCTTCCACATTTATTAGTTAACACTTTACTAAGGGAAATGCTTGCTCCCCTCCCCATTTATTTATTCACTCATTTATTGATATCAGTTAAATGCATGGGATTCCTGTTTTTATTCAAAGGGTTATAATCTGTTACTATCATTACTTGTTCTGATGCTCAAAATATTCCAGATTTGACCATTAGATGCCCAATCAAGCTGATATTTCCTGACTTTGGGCACAACAATCTATTCCAGGTTTATAATACTTTCCCTTCCCCAGCCCTGGAATCAGCCATTTTTTTCCAAAAGTCCTGGTTTCTTTTAGTGGATAATAATATGTAGAAATCAAGATCTGGGCATTAGGCATGCTCATTGCTCTCCAGATGTTGTTGCCCCTAGCTTATATCAGTGGGCAGAGCTAAGAAATATATGTATGTATATAATGTGGGTATATGTCCAAAAGTGTGTGTGTGTACATATATAAAATATATATATATATACACACCAAGTATATATATATATATACACCAAATATATATACCCATATTTACATCTACATTTCTACATTTATTGATTCACCTATTGAAAATCTGAGTTCATTGTAGATTACATCAGATTCCAATCCAACATCACAAAGTTCGATTTTCTCCCTTTCTTTATTTGCAACTTCCTCTCATTATCCTCAATATATTTACTTATTGGATCAGTATCCCTTGTATATAACTTACCTCTCATCACTGCCACAGCCACCCTGTGCAGACTCCACCTCATACCATTTGTGCTCTGAGGCCAGCACTCAGCTTCCACCACCCCCTCCCCTATGTGAATGTCCTCCTCACCCCACCTGGGCTACATTACCCCACACAAGTCACTACCACCATCTCTATTGTGTGTATTTTTAGTAGCTTACTTTCTCCCTAAGTAGTACCTATTCACAGCAATAATTTTAAAAAGCATGAAAAAGAAAGTTATAAAGACAAAACCATAAAATGTTTGTAATCCCATAATCTAGACAAAACCATTGTCAACATTTTAACATATTTCCTCATTGTCCTTGTGGAGATTATCTGTACATCATAACAGATATTATTCCCTATAGTCAATTCTATTTGCTGCTTTTACTGCTTTATATTTTCCCATGTAATTTAATATTCGTGGAAATGTATGCATGCCTAAGTTTTGTCCTTTGTCTGTAACAGGTTGTTAAGGAAATAAAGTTAGATCATATATGCAAAAATGCTTAGTAAAGGCAAACATGCTTCATGGTTATGTCGTTATATTATTTGTGCCTGTTTTCCCAACAGTGTGTGTCTAATTCATCTCGGTTCCCCTCACCTTTATCTCTTTATCCATCACAAATAGTACAATTAGCAACATGCTAAAATGATACCAAGTCAGTTTATTGTAAATACCCAAGATTATCCTAAAAGAATCCATATATCATGACAAACTGGACCTAGCAAGTCAGGAACCAGGGTTAAAGAACTGGCTTCATCAGTAACCAACTGTGTGACTATTAATAAACCATTCATTCTCGCAAAACTAAACTTATCTCATTTGTCACATACATGAAATAACTTCTCTCCTAACCATGTTACACGGCTAGGCAAGGATCCCAATGCAATGGCAGATATGAATTTGCTTTTAAAAGCATGGAAACTAGGACTGTTAGGTGTCAAAGCTTTGGCCTGGAAGAAAGGATACTTGGCTCCCCTCCCTGGTGCTTCCACAAACTGACTATCACTAACCAACCAGGCCAGTTACCTCAGTAGTAAAATGAGAGAACTGACTTACAATTTTGGCAAAGTTCTTTCCAGCCCTATCTCCTAGAATCTAATGATTTTAACTGGAAAGAGAGGAACTGGGCTCATGTATTTCATAAAGCTGCTTGCTGCTTTGATGGATCAAACAGGAAGAATTTAAATGAGGAAAAGTAAATATAAATTTGCAATAAAAACTTTGAAACCTGTCTTGATTATGCACACTTTAGAAGCTGTTACATCTTCTAAAGTGAGGACTTCGGAAGAGTCCTCTAGAAGACTCTTTACCAAGAGTAAAGGAACAGCAAGGAAAAGCAACTGCATGCCAAAAGATGGGCATGTGATGAAAAAAACAGACAGTTGTGTTGATGTTTTGTCAACCCTTTGGATTCTTCAGATTTCTATCTCCTGATCCATTTAAATGGTCCTCATCCTATCACATCTGCTTTGGGACATCCCAGATAAATTTTTTGCCTTCTATGAATTTCATTCTTCTCAGTCAGAAAGAGAGATGGTAAGAACAAAGCAGCCTCAATTTTCCCCTCTCCTTGGATCCACATCATTTGCAATGCGATGTCATAGCTCTTCCCATCAAAAATTGTAGTAATATCCCCTCCCCTTAAACTGGGGCTGGCCTTATGATTGGTGTTGGAAAACATAATGCAATGGAAGTGATGGTGTGTCAGTTCCCAGTCTGGACCTTAAGAGGCCTGTGTGCTTCCATTCTCCCTCTTTTGACCTTATCACCACCATGTGACTAAGCCAGGACAGCTTGCTGGAGGATGAGGGATAATGTGAGAAGGGCCCCACTGTCCCAGGTGAAGATATCCTATATCAGCCATCAGCCTGTTGACCACTGGCCAAGATCAGAGATATCCAGGGGGCCGAGCCAAGATGGGCACAGCCACATATCTGACTTATAGACTTGTGAGCAATAATTCATGCTTACTGTTTTAAGCTGCAGAGTTTTGGACTGTTTGTTATGTAGCAATATGCTAACTGATGCATATGTTATGAAATTAGTGAATCTTAGGCCTTTAAATGGGGAAGTAAGCTACATTCTAGTCGTACTAGAGAGAACACTAGACTAGAAGTATAAAATCTTGAGTCTTAGGACCAGTTCTGCAAATTCCTTGAGCATATGATCTTGGATAAGAAAGAACTCTCTCTTATTTTTAGTTATCTTAAATTAAAAGGAGATACCTATCCATTTCCTGCCTAACTATTAATAACTGGGCTGTTGTAATGATTAAATTAGACAATTTTCTTGCAAATGAAGTCTCTAAGAGGGTGCAATACACCTCTCAATAGCAAAGCAGCAGTGAGTCACCATGTATAGTTTTTAAAAAGACTACTGCTAATTCAGATAAGATAATTTTTTTAAAACAGGAGACATGAAGGAACTATGAGAAAGAGGCTTCTGTGATGTGAAGAAAAGGTATCCAGGCATCACTTAGCCCAGAGGATCCCTTTTCCTTTTAAAACCACGGACTTCTAATAAGATTCCTCTCATCACGGTTGCAGCTGGCATTAGGTGAAGCATTTTTTGTGGAATGCAGAGGTCACATTTCTAGCATTTCCACATGGATGTTGTGCAAGAGCCAAAGAACAGGAATAATTAATTATAATAACTGGAACATAACAGCCGAAACTTTGTGCTATAATACAAAATTTCAAACTCTTGTAGACAGGAAGACTGGAAGATAGTCCTATGTCTTATATCAGCTTTCATATTCTAAGTGAATTGTCCAGTGTGAGCGGAGGTGACAGAATTAGATGAAGAAAGACAAAGACAGCATCGATCATCAGAATCAGCCCAGAGACACCTAAGGCAACACAGCACAGGGGGAGAGCATGGGCTTTGGAGTCACACCAACATGGGTCATTCCGTTTCTGCCCTTTCTGAGCCTCAGTGTCATTCTCAGCAAAATGATCTTGTCTCGGAACATCAATACATATTTTAAATTAACAATAAGCAAACTATCGTGCATTCCACAGTGTGGGTCTGTGTAGTATTTAGTTATTTTCAGTAGATAGTGTTAGCAAGAACACCCACTTTAGTTTTTGATTAATCTGGTTGACATTGATCCTACCTCTGCCAGATGAGTTTTATGACTTTAGTTTCTATACTTGGTTAAGCCTCAGTTTCCTCATCACTAAAGTGGTTATAGTAATATAAACTTTATATGATTACACTAGAACATATGCACCATGGGAGCAGTTTTGTTTTGTTTTGGTTTCTGTTTCACTCATTCATTGTCATATCACCAGGGCTGAATGCTTGACACATAATAGATGCTCAATAAATATTGATGGAATTAAAGAATTGTGAAATTATTTGAAATAATCTATGCAACATATCTAACTCAAAACCTGGAACATATTAAGAAGTTTTGTTATTGATTGTTCAATGTCGTGAGTTAAAAATATATTTTTGGACCTGGCTATCTTAAAAACAAGAGAAAAAAAGAGAGTTTTCACTGCCTCTTCTTTCTTAATTTTCAAGTTACATATTATATAAATGTATTAATTAGATTTTAAAAAATGAATTAAAATTTACAAAGGCCAAAGAACCTTTTCAAGGGAGTACTTAGAGAGTAGAATCCAATCAAGTTAAGCCACTGACTGATGCCCATGTGGCAAATAAGTTTCTCCTTCCCCTTGTCCCTCTCTATCTCATTATAAATCAGCTCTATTTCTGTGTGAGTGGGCAGCCCTTAAAAAGAACTGAGGACATTTTAACATTTAGTAAGGATGGCAGCACCCGACCGGGTGTGGTGGCTCACACCTGTATCCCAGCACTTTGGCTTTGGGAGGCCGAGGCGGGTGGATCACCTGAGGTCAGGAGTTCGAGACCAGCCTGGCCAACATGGTGAAACCTCGTCTCTACTAAACATACAAAAAATTAGCCTGGCATGGTGGTGCATGCCTGTAATCCCAGCTACTAGGGAGGCTGAGGCAGGAGAATCGCTTGAACCTGGGAGGTGGAGGTTGCAGTGAGCTGAGATCATGGCATTGCATTCCAGCCTTGTGCAATAAGAGTGAAACTTCGTATCAAAAAAAGAAAAAAAATGGAAGCACCTAATCCTCTTTGTGAGCTGGTGGTGGAGTCTGGATCTCTGTCACCAGTTTTCCAGAGGACAGAACACAGGAAAGCTGAAATCTCTAGCAGAGGCAATGAATGGAGGGCTTAGGAAGTAAGGGCAGGCTGAAGCAATGCCCAGCCTTGGAAATCCCAGGGCTGCCCCCTACAGCAAGATGGAGTGAGTCGCACTGGCCAGGCTGTCTGGAGACATTCCAATGAAAACAAGGGAAAACAGGAGAGAGCAGGGGAGGGCTGGGAGAGGGGCCCTGGACTCCCACACACCTGTTTACTACAACTTACCTATTGAGAAAGGCATAAAGGCTTCCCTTTTCTTAAACTGTCCATTCTCCAGAAAATGGTCCGGATTGAATGTGTCAGGGGTGGCCCACTCTGTGGGGTCCCTGTGCAGCGCCGTCAAATTGGTCAGGATCATGGTACCCTAGAGAAAGCAGCAGAGACTCAGGCAAGGCTTGACCCATGAAAAAGCACACCTATGCAGAGGGGTGGTCATCCTCCGGCTTCCTTGCCGGGGGCCTGAACATACTGCCCCACCCTCCCCAATTGTGGTACACAGTCTCCTGTGTCCCCCAACCCAGGACCCTTCTCTTTGTCTGGGACAGCTTTCAAATTAGATTGGATTTCCCTGCTGGGAATTTTAACAAGGATGTCTGGCTACTCTTGACTGCAGGATCGAGCTTCCTTACAGGGACAGGTCAGTTTCAGTAGGGCTTGGAAGGAGGGGGCATGAATGCACTGATGAGAGAATAATCCAACAGTCAGTCTGCACTGTACCAAAACCAGCCCAGCTGCTCAGTGAAGCTATAACGATGGCAGCTCTACAAAGGTAAAAGACATCTCATTCATCTTGGTTTCACCATTCTCTTTCCTCCAATGTCTAGTACATGGCACCCCACTCCCCATGGTAGGTTTAGTAATAGAATCAGGTAGACCCATGCAAGGAGCCCCTGTCCATCCAGGTACATGCTAAGAAACACAGGAGTTCCCAGAGGGAGCTTTTCCTTTACTCTGTCGTTATCCAACCCATCAGTGAGACTGGTCAATTTTACTTTCACCTCCATTCCATGTCCACCAATGCTCACTTAGTCCAGACTTCTTCCTGGCTTGCCTGGACCACTGTTATAGTTTCCTAACTGTGCCCCAAATCCTGTCACCCCTTTCAATCTGCTTCACACTCTGGAAGAGAGTGAGCTTCTAGCATGATTTAGTCATGTCATTCCCCACCTCCACAGCCCCCACTGCTCATACCTAGGACTTGACACACTTCAATAGTTACCCATTGCTCTCAGGGCAAAGACTCTTCACCTGGTCCTGGTCTGCACTACTCTCCCCCTCTGCCTGCACTCCCACTACAGGGCTCTTCTTTCAGTTTCTCAAACATGCCATTTTCCTACTTAATTCAGCATCCTTTTTAAATGCTATTTGCCTTGCCAGGAATGTTCCTCCTCCCCACTTTGTCATCAAGCTAACTCTTGAAGCTAATCCTCAGCTCAAACATCACTTCCTTTTGGAAGCCTTCCCTGACCACTCCTGCTAGTCTGTTTTTACAGACCACAGTGAGTTTTTTCCTTTGGGCAGTTATCACGTTTCTAAATATGTACTTGCATGATTACTTTTCTCAGGGTTGTTTTGCCAGACCTGAGCATTTCAGGTATGTAGTGTTTGTTGAATTCATTCAAATATTAACATATTAATATAATATTACTTCAAGGAATTAATATCAATGATTGCCAATATTAGTAATAACTTTTTTTTTTAATACAGACTCTCACTCTGTCACTGAGGCTGGAGTGCAGTGTGTCGGCTCACTGCAACCTCCATCTCCTGGGTTCAAGCAATTCTCCTGCCTCAGCCTCCCAAGTAGCTAGGATTACAGGTGCCCACCACCACGCCTGGCTAGTTTTTATATTTTTAGTAGAGACGGTTTTCACCATGTTGGCCAGGCTGATCTCGAACTCCTGACCTCAGGTGATCCACCCGCCTCAGCCTCCCAAAGTGCTGAGATTACGGGTGTGAGCCACCATGCCCGGCCAATAATTGCTATTTTAAGCACTTTCTGTACTAAGTACTGGGTTAAATGCCCTACATGCATGATCTCATTTTACCTCCATGTGGATCTTGTTAAGTAGGTTTAAATGCATTTTTCAGATGAAGAAATTGAAGCTTTGAGAGGTAAAATAATGGGCCCAGAGTCAGAGAGTGGGAGGAGGCAGAGCCATGATTTGAATTAGGTCTATTTGACGTCAAAGTCATAGCTCGTAGACTGTGTAACACACAATTATTTCAACTTGTCAGTTCCCAAGATGATTTTTAAAGCTGACAAAAATCAGCAGCAGCAGAAGTCAAGCTGGTTTCCTTGAGTTAAATAAATTGCTAGAAAAATGCAAACAGCACCTGGGGAATTTAGACCTCAGCCTTTATCCACTAAATGGTCAATCAGTAAGGAAATAGTAAATGTAACAGCTGCTTTTCCTGGCTCTGCAGGGATAGTAACCAAGTAGTGCCCAATGGGTAAGCTCTTCTGATTCTACTTCTCGAGATTTTCCCCAGGTATGACACACTCAGAGGTACTTAGACAGACTGGAATCGATCCACGGAGGCTGACCAAAGTGGTTAGAAAGCAAGGAAAGGAACTGAAAATGTGCAATGTGGGGAGAGGGCACTAGAGGGCACAGGATAGTTGTCTGCAGAGATCCTAAGAGTGGCGAATGGAGTGACATCAGAATTCTGTTTGTCGCAGAAACAGAAAATGAAATACTGCATGTTCTTACTTATAATGGGAGGTAAACATCGGATAGACATCGACATAAAGATAGGAACAATAGACACTGGGGATTACTGGAGGAGAGAGTGGGGCAAGGGTTGAAAAACTACTAATTGGATACTATGCCAGTCACCTGGGTAATGGTTCAATCATACTCCAAACTTCAGCATCGTGCAATATACCCTTGTAACGAGCCTACACATGTACTCCCTGAATCTAAAACAAAAGTTGAAAGAAAAAGAAAGAGTTCCACTTGTGAGTACAGGGAATTTAACTTAGACCAATTGAAAAAATAATAGGGAGATGCCTTTAAAATCAATGTAAAGCAAGTCCTGTGAAGGGAGCATGGTGTCTCACAAAGAAACAGAACAGATCTGCTTCCAGATCCCAACTCTTCATAGTTGAGAGATCTCATGCAAACCTAATTTTTCTGAGCCTTGACTTCGCAATCCATAACATGGAAATAACAAGCTTCTTCTGAGTAAACTTACTCTGAGAATTGAATAAGACATTTTGAAAGAGACCACATTGTCCACAACCCATAATCATTGCTTAATACATGTTCACTCCTTTCTTTCCCTTCCCAATAATGAATATTGCACACGCTTAGATTGGCTTCCTTATAAGATAATAAATTATACATCTGTCAGAAGCAGTGGCTCACACCTGTAATCCCAGCACTTTGGGAGGCCGAGGTGGGTGGATCACGAGGTCAAGAGATCCAGACCATCCTGGCCAACCAACATGGTGAAACCCCGTCTCTACTAAAAATACAAAAATTAGCTGGGCATAGTGGCGCATGCTTGTAGTCCCAGCTACTTGGAAGCAACAGAGCGAGACTCCATCTCAAATAAATAAATACATACATTAATTAATAAATTATACATCACGGGACTATAAGAAATAACTGGAAAAATACCTGTGGGGATATTATGTTAAAAACACCAGCATTAATATGATGTTGTCCCAGGTGGTCTTAAATGTCCTTTCACATTTTAGCATTCTAGAACCCCAGGTTCATGAAGCAGAATTTCCCAAAGTTTGGCAGATCCCTAGTCTGGTGAGATGTTCTACCAAAACAAAGAAAAGTGTTCTGTGATAAAGTCTGACCTAGAACTGCTGCCTGCCACGTGCCCACAGACTCACAATGCACATTAGCATAGTAAAAACACTGAGAGGCCCCACAGGAAAGAAAAGCCAGTCTTTATCTAAACATATTTAACGTAGGAATCCTTCCTGCTCCCCTCCCCACAATACCTATTTATCTAGTTGAAGACTACACATGGAGAAAATCTAGTATTATATCAGGTATAAGATATCTTTTTCTTCCATTTAAATGATTCCTTAGGACAAGAATAAATGTCACTTCTCAAGTTCAAGTTTCTACCCCCCTAAAAGATGGGCTTGAAGATCTGCTTAATTACCTTGGGCAGGTGGTACCCAGCCAAAGTGGTATCAACTGTCACTTCCCTGGGAACGTTCAGGGGGATGATGTTGCCCATTCTCTGCACCTCATGGATGACAGCATTGGTGTAGGGCATGGACTCCCGGGCGGCTGTGCTCGGCTGCTGCCCCTGGCCAATCACTCTGTCAATCTCAGCTTGTACTTTTTCTGGTAAAGAGGGAAGGGTTCTATTATTTTTTAAACTTTTATGCTTTATTATAAAGAGGTATGAGTGGTCTCCAAGATGTCATCTGTTGTATTTCAATTAGTGACCAGGTTGCAAGAAATAAAATGGTTCTTAACCTTTTGAAAGGCTTATTCAGAAAACTACCACCTCTGTAAATCTCCTTGAGCCTGGTTAGGCTATGGGATGGAATGACCAGGATTAATATGGCTAAACTTCATTACATCAGACCCCAGCGGACTTGGTGTCTGGTGAAGACCCACTTTCTGGTATACAAATGGCACTTTCTCAGTGTGTCCTTACATAGTAGAAGGAGTGAGGCAGCTCTCTGGAGTCTCTTTTATAACAGTACTACTCCCATTCCTGAAGGCTAATTACCTCCCAAAGGCCCCACCTCCTAATATCATCACACTGGTAATAAGGTTTCAACATATAAATTTGGGCTGGGGTGGGCCCAAGTATTCAACCCATAGCAGATCTACAGACTCTAATTTCTCAGGTAGATATGTAAGAGTGGAAAGTGGGCCCTGAGGTAAGACCCATCAGGTTGCAAACTCTTGCTCTACAACATTGATGCTGCAAGTTACTTACACTCTTTAAACCTCAGTTCCTTATTTGATTAGTGAGGATAAATCTACCTTCATCTTAAGGATGTTTTGACATTCACATGAACTGATGTTTTGAGATTTGTGTGACCAGATAGGACTGCTCCCAGTTTCTTTCATTGGTTGAGTGCTCACCTAGCCAAAGAGAGAAACTGTAGCAGCCTTATCTCTTTTCTCTTTCTCTAGAGTAATAGAGATTTTAGCTGGAGACCTGACTGCCCAGCTAAAGAATATATTTTCCTCACGCTTGTAATCCCAGCACTTTGGGAGGCCAACGCAGGCGGATCACGAGGTCAGGAGATCGAGACCATCCTGGCTAACACGGTGAAATCCCATCTCTACTAAAAATACAAAAAATTAGCCGGGCGTGGTGGCGGGCGCCTGTAGTCCCAGCTACTCGGGAGGCTGAGGCAGGAGAATGGCATGAACCCAGGAGGCAGAGCTTGCAGTGAGCCGAGATGGTGCCACTGCACTCCAGCCTGGGTGACAGAGCGAGAAAAAAGAATATATTTTCCAGGTCCTATTGTAACTAAGTGTGACCATATTACTCAATTCTGGCTAATAGAATGTAAGCAGAAGTGATGTTTAATCCTTGGAACAGGTTCCTAAAGAAAGGATATGCACTTCCTTCCCCCTTTTGCTTCCTACTGGTGGAAAGCCTATTGGTGAGCCGTCTTACAGAGTGCTAACAAGGGCATCATTCTAATCACAACAGAGCAACAAGTTGGAAGGAGCTGGGAACCCTAATGGCTTTGCAAAGCCTAGTTTGGATTTTTTTTTTTTTACCTGAAAGCGAAATAAATTATCATTTTTGTAAAACATCTTATTTGGGGGTAAAATACCCATAACATAAAATTTACTATGTTAGCATTTTTAAATGAACAGTTCAGTAGTATTAAATATATTCACATTGTTAGGCAATCACTCTCCAGAACTTTTTCATCTTGCAGAACTGAGGCTCTATATCCCCTCCCTCAGCCTCTGGCCACCACCATTCTACTTTGTGTCTCTAGGAATTTCACTATTCTTGATAACTCATGTAAGTGGAATCATACAGTGCTTATCTGTTTGTTACTAGCCTTTTTAACTGAGCATGAACCTGGATGCATATACCTAAATATACATATAAAGCATACATTATGCAACTACAGATGAAAAAAATAAAGTTCTGTAAACAAACTTACCTTAGTACATGGGAAGCACTCTGATCTTTTCTATTTTTATCTTAAGAAAAAAATGTTGGTCTTGATTCACTAAATTGATTTTATGCCTCATTAATAAACAGTTACCCACAATTTGAAAAACTGTATTGTTAAGAGTTCCCACCCCCATATGTTCAAACTTTTCTGGAAGCTGGAGGAAGAAAAATAATGAGAACATCATTCTTGAGTGGACTATAGTCTGTGGGGAAGCTATATATAGATAATACATGATAAGCCTAGTAATAAAGGCACATTACATCATCTCTGGAGGGAGAAAATGCTAATAATTTCCTAGGGGAGCACAGAAACATCTTAGAGAGGTAGTACTTGAACAGATTCTTCAAGAAGAGCTAGGAGTTTACTATGTAGGAAAACTGGGCAAGTAGAGGGAAAAGCATCTATCACGACATAGAGGCATAAATATAGACTGCAAAGAAAGTGACGTGTCACTTAGTGAGGCCACCATGGAGGGTAGGTGCGGCCAAGGCTAGACAGGCAGAAGGGGCATATCGGAGGTTAACATATACCAGACTAAAGTGCTTGAACATTATTCTGGAGGAAATTGGAAGGCATCACTTAAAAGAAGGGAAGGACACAACTAGACTTTCACATCAGAAAGTTAACTGTTTCCTGGAACTATCTCAATGTCGACTGACTTCGTTGATTTCCCTCTTGCCTCTGAGCTTCTTGAGGACAAGGATTCTCTCTTACATTTGTATTACCTGGGCCCATCACAATTCAGACAGAAAATATGAAGAATGTGCAGTTTCCAAGTCCTCATCACTCATGACTGTTCTGCCTCTCTTTTCATCCTACAATGCTATCTTCTGGCCCCGACTTCAGGCAGCACATCCCAGGAGGCACTATTCTGTCCTGGTTCAGGCTTACTCACTGACATGCTCACCTTGGATTTCTGGGTAGAGGGCCATATAAAGCAGAGCCCATCGCAGAGTTGTGGAAGTTGTCTCGGTTCCGGCAAAGAAGAGGTCCAGGGTGCTGCAGATGAGGTTTTCTTCATGGAAACTTGAAGTAGGATTGCCTGTGTGCTAGAAAACACAATGTTTGATGTTATTTATTGGTTTATTCAGAGGATTCCTGATTGCCGTAACACAAAGGGGCTTCATCCTAGGAGGACATTTGGAAGAAAAGGTCCCCAAAAGAAACAATTTTCCCTTTGGCCTCTTCAGAAGGCAGACTCTTATTACAGCAATATCATTAGCATTGTCCTGCCCCAAGTGCTGGACACCTTTGGATGGATGAAAATCAAGACAATTATTTTCTTATGCCTATAATTTTGGGGAAGCTTTTAGTACAGTGAAAGGAGAATGGGATGTGAACGAGACAGATTTGGCTTCCAATATTAACCACTTCAATTAGCAGCTGTGTGACCTAGGGCAAGTCACTTAACCTCTCTGTTCTTCAGTTTCCTGTTTTATATACTGGAAATAGGAGTGCACACCTCTTAAGAGGGCATTATGAATTATATGAATGCAAGGACGCAGAGCAAATACTCAACAAACATTTGTACTGATAACAGAAAAGGCAAATGGAATTTCTCTTATGAACAACAATTCTCATATCTCTTCATTCACCTTTTTCTTTCCAATTTGAAACTCACTGATTCTACCAACCATTCCTCATGATACTCTGTCATCTTTACCATCATCTTCTGGAAACTTCAATTTGTCCAATGTTGCTCTTAATGTTAATGATCCCTTCCTTACCTGCACAACATATAGCGAGTCTCCTCCTCTGAGGAGAAAACAATACTTCTATAAATGTCATACCAATAAGGTGAAATAAGAGGGAAAGAAATCCACCATTCTTTCCACTCCAGAAGTAGGACCCAATTCCTGATGTGTAAAGATGACAGTATTGATGCAGTGATATGTGTTAACCAGAGGGGTAACTGTGTTAAAGGTCACGCATCCCATTTGGTTTCTTCCTCACCTCTGGCCTATAATGTTGGAAAGTGAAAGGTACAAAACAGAAGGGAAGGCAAAGTCCAACTCAGGCCTTAATAAAGTTGGCCTTTAAACTCTGGCATCCAACTCAGCTTTACTTGTGTTCTCTATGAGGGCTGCGAAAATGGTAGGTCATTGGGTCTAGGCCCAACTAATGATAGAACAGAGCTTTGAGGATTAACTGCTATGTTCCCCCTTTGTGTATACCTCCAAATAACAGTAAAGGGTAGGGGATGGGGGATGAAAGGGCTGTATTTGGGCATTCACAGGACCTCAAACCAAATGCTATTAACCCTTGTCTTTATCTCTAATTGCATCATCAATCCTGAGTTAATGCTACCCTACATTTTCTGAAATATTGCCCCTATTTTTACTCCTGTAGCAGGCTGAGTAATGACCCGCAAAGATATCCATTCACATCCTAATGTCTGGAACCTAGGGATGTTACTTTATAGGGAAAAAGGAACTTTGCAGATGTGGTTAAGGATTTTGAGATGGGCAGATTATCCTGGAACATTCCAGTGGGCCCAGTGTTATCATAATAGTCTTTATTAGAGGTAAATAAGAGGGTCAAAGTCAGAGAGAAAGTATGTCAGGATGGAAGCAGATACCAGAGAGAAGAGAAGATGCTGTGCTTCTGGCTTTGAAGATGAAGGAGGGGACCACAGGCCAAGGGACATAGGCGGCTCCTAGAAGCTGGGAAAGTAATAGAAACAGATTCTCCTCCAGCACCTCCAAAGAGATCCAGCCTAGCCAAAACCTTATCTGTAACCCAGTGAAGCTGATTTCATACTTCTGATATCTAGAACTGTGAGAGAATCAATCTGTGCTATTTTAGGCACCAAGTTTGTGATCATATTTTACAGCAGCAGTTGGAAACTAATATACCTCTATTTGTGCTCTAAGAACAAAATACAAAATGACTTTGGTTTTCTCACCTTTGACATTTCTTTAAGGTAAGCATCAATAAAGTCTCTTGTTTCTGCAGGATTCCAATCCTTTCTGTGTTTGTCAATCATATGAGAAACAAACAATTTCAGTTTTTTCCAGTTGCTGAAGAGAGTTTGGTGGGGTCCAGGCAGGAATTTCATTATCCATGGAAAGACATTGTAGAGCTAATTGAGAAAAACAAAACAATCATGCAGATAACATGGTGCCATTTTTTTCTTTTTAAGACAACAGAAACCATCTTCTCTTTCCGTCTCTTTTATTTGCTCACACTTAAACCTTGGTTATCCTTGACCCCTCTTTTCTCTCTCACCTCTCTAGCAAAACAGTTCAGCTCTCTGTCAAAAATATATCCAGCCTTGGACCATTTCTCACCACCGCAACAGCTTGCCACCAAAAAAAAATACTTATGAGACATCTGGGGACATCTGAGCACTGGTTGAGTGTTTGAAGGCATTAAATAACTATTGTTCATATTTTTCAGGCACAATGGTATTTTATTTTTGTTAAAATGGGTCTTTTTAGAAATATATGCTGAAATATTTATGTATCAAATAATTGAGGTCTGTAATTTGCTCCAAAATAATTCAGGGACAGTGGGAATGTGGTAGTAGGGCATAGATGCAGATACAGTGAAAATGGCCATGTGTTGATAATTGTTAGAGCTCACTGATGAGTATACACAGTGATTCATGATTGTATTCTTTTATACACATTTGTAATTTTCAAAAATAAAGTCATTTTCTTAAACCAAGGAAATTTTTAAAAATTTTGATAATGGCATACTGTGTAATTCAAGGGCACTCTTTCTACTGAGAACACCAAGAAAAGATGAAAAAGATACATGTGTAAACATTTAAGCACACATACATACAAATCAAGGTAGTGAGGTAGTTTCCAGGATAAGGCTTAGGGGAAGAAGAAAGCCCAGGGTATGAACTCAATACTTGGGGTCAACTTCTCCCCCCTCCCCCCAGCTCCCAGAAATGTCTTCCAAATTCCAAAAAGTGTCTGAGGAACCAAGAAACCGAGCAGAGTTTTTGACAAAGACTCAAAGGCTTAGAGGGACAAAAATTGTGGTGCAGGGCCCACCAAGGGAGAAGTGAGTTTGAACTCCAAACGGCTACACTCTATGGAATTAGAAGATTGATGATATTAAGTGCTGGTGGGCAGGCAAATAATGCAATGAGCTTGGCAATCTTTAAACTTCTTTTATCTCCAGATACAGATATAAAAAATATGAGTGGATGTAACCACAAGAACACTTGTACAAGAATGTTCATGGCAGCTTTATTCATAGCATCCAAAACTTGGAAACAAATGTCCGTCAGTACAGAACAGATTGACAAAAAGTGGCACATTCATACAATGAAATACTAATCTGCATTAAAAAAGAGCAACCAGCACAGATGACTCTCAAAGCAACTTGCTGAGGAAGAAAGAGGATACAGAAGAGAACCTCTGAGGGAGGAGGGAAATGGACGAGTTGGGGAAGGACACAGAGAGGAGAGACTCAAGGGCAACAGCAATATTGTTTTTCTTTTTAAAAAGAACAACATAGGTGGATAGGCGTATGTCATATAACATGTTGTACTTTACATGCATGTTAGAAATGGTTTTTGCATATAAATATTCCATATTAGTTAAAAAACTAAAGTCAATAGATTTATTTCAAATAAGTTTGTGTTGAAATTAGTTTTGAAAGGTTATATTTTAACTTCAAAAACCCAAAAAAAACTAAAAGGAAAAACCCATCTGTGGCTGACATCGGCCCCAATTTACTGAACAAAGATATGGAGAGACAGCTGCCTTACCTGGCATGTCTTTGAAGCCTCCAAGTATGTGACTTCATCTAGTAACTTCAGCAGCTGCTGAAACCAACTATCCTGGTACTCAAAGCGTTCTCCGAAGGTGATGGAGCAAATGATATTGGAAACTGCATTGTTGATCTTGAAATGAGGGTCAAAAGGCTGTCCTGAAGGTGGAGGAAGGGCAAGATGGATCCTTCTGATGGATTTGTCTCCATTTCCTACTGAGAGTCTACTTTACATGGCATAAGACATACCTAGTGCAGAACCATATATGAGGAGCTGGCCACATGACCTTACACTGCATCTGACATACAACAAGTATTCAGTCAACTCCAGGGAAGTCAAACTGCGGACCAGGGCTTAAATTCAGTAATGTGTTTAGTGCCCATCTTTGTGTATTTACTTCTAAAACTCTTTGAGGACAGAGTTGTTCACTGTTCTATCTTCCATTCCTAGCACAGTGCTGGGCATAGAACAAGCACTTACTCACTTAGTAAGTATCTGTCCAATGAACAAATGGGCCACAGTCTCTCACCTCTGTCATATGCAATGCTCACCGTTCTCCTCTTTTATTGCTTCAGTGAGGTGTTGGGCCTCCTCCTGAATGCGTTCCTCTAAGCTCTTCTTTCCTAAACCAAAGTTCCTTAGTGCTGTCAGAGTGAACCTTCTTTGCTCCTTCCATGCCTGGCCACTTGACATAATCAATCCTGGGAAAAAGAAAGTCAACATTACAGTATTCTGATTCCATAATATGAATATCCAGCAAATGATATGGGAATGTGTATCAGATGAAGGACAGGAGAAGATCATTAAGGCACTTGAAAACTGCCCAGAGAAATAATCCCAAAGCAATGGATATAATGGCTAATATTTACTGATTGCTTGCAATGGCAGGCACTTTAATATGCATTTTGTTGTGCATTATATAATTTAGTACTCATAGAAACTCTCTGGGATAGGTACAATTATTACCACCCCACACATTTTACTAATGAAAAAACTGAGGAACAAGGGATAAAGGATAAAATGCATTTTACAGGGTCTCACAGTAAGTAAGCAACTAAACAGGTATTCAATTTCAGGTCTGCCTTATTCCAAAGCCCATGCTTTGATTATTAGTTACATAAGTAAAGTTAAGTATTTATGTTATGCTAAACACTAGGAATGCACTAATGGTTAAGACAATGCCCATACTCTTAAAGAGGCTAAGGCTAAGAAAGGCTTTATAGGAGAGGTCCTATCTAACCTGGACATTAAAAGATGATGTAAGGAATCAAGAGATCAAGGAGGAGTGAAAGTTCCATACAGAAAGAAGAGTACAAGCAAAGAAAAAAAAATTTTGGTGTGTTTGACAGACCATCATTTGTTTTATAACACAGGTAATGCCATACTCCTTTCAATTTCTTCAATTCCAGAGCACTCCTCAACACCTTTTAATATCTGACTATGGCCTGCTCACCCACTGAATTGGTCCGGATACCTTTTGACCTCGTCTTACTTGCAGCAGCAGTAGACACTTCTTTCTTGAAATACTGCCTTCCAGTGGTGCTCAGGATACCACTGTCTCCAGATTTTCGTCCTAATTCTCTGCCAGCAACTTCCTATATATTTTGCTGGTTCATCTTCTATTAAATCTTGAAATGGTGGAGTTCTTCAGGAACTTCTTCTTCATCTAAAACCTCTTCTTTTTCTCACCCTATACTCTATTTCTGGGAAATCTTATCAACTCCTAAAATTTTAAATAACATCTATTGATAGTGACCATCTATTTCTGTCCCTGAGCTCCAGAAGCATATATACAACGCTGCCTGCCTCACTTTGCTGACTTAAAGGTATTTTGAATTCGGCATATCCATGATTGAACTCACAGTTTTCTCCATATGACTTTTCACCCATGCCCAACTAAACCAAATACCTTATACTCTTCTAAGTGTTCCTTCTTTCCATCATCTACCCATTTGAGTGTCACCTCAACACCTCCTTCTCCCTGCACCTACATCATCATGTCTTAAGAGGTGTACCTTCCTGGATATCTCAAATCCAGGTCTTCACTGCTACTATCTTGGACTAACCTACTGTTATTTCCCTACTGCTATTGGACCTTCCTAGCCTGAGCTACCACTGTCTGTAACCTAAAATGCTACAAAAGTCCCTTGCTCCTTTTCTTCTATTCTCTGAATGGCAGCCTAAATAAAACCTAAAAATATACAGTGTAAATATAATTCCCTTCTCTACTTAAAGCCATTCAAGAGCTTCCATTAATGTTAGGATAACAACTAGTGTCCTTAACAGGAACCTGCATGAACTATTCCTAGCCAAGCTCAGTAGCTTCATCTCCCTTTAATTATCTCCTTTTAATCCCCATGCTTGTCATGTTGGCCACCTTTCATTTCTTCAAGTTCCCTGTCCTTTTCATTTCAGGGGCTTTTCATTTTCTATTCTGTCTGCCAGATTGTTTCACCAGTTTATTAAATGAATATTTATTTACTTTTTCTGCATCCCAGGACTGCATTAATAAGTACATCCTGAACTTGACTTCATAACACTGTAGGCTTCTATTATAGTTAACTGATACTATTTTTCTTTCTGCATAGAATATAAACTACATAGGATATGGATTTTATCTATTCTTCTGACTGTTCCATCACTCATGCCTAGTACCATGCTTCACAAGGCAGATAATACAGTGAATGGATATAGAATTAACTGATGAAATATTTCTAAGAATTGAAAAGCACCTTGTAGGGTAAAGAAAGAGAGATCAGACTGTTACTGTGTCTATGTAGAAAGGGAAGACATAAGAAATTCCATTTTGACCTGTACCCTGAACAATCACTTTGCCCTGAGATGCTGTTAATTTGTAACTTTTCCCCAACCTCTTTGCCCCAATCTCTTTGCCCCAACTTTGAGCTCACAAAAACATATGTTGTATGGAATCAATGTTTAAGGGATCTAGGGCTGTGCAGGATGTGCCTTGTTAACAAAATGTTTACAAGCAGTATTCTTGGTAAAATCATTGCCATTCTCTAGTCTTGATAAACCAGGGGCGCAATGCACTGTGAAAAGCTGCAGGGACCTCTCCCCTGGAAGCCGGGTATTGTCCAAGGTTTCTCCCCATGTGATAGTCTGAAATATGGCCTCATGGGATGAGAAAGACCTGACCGACCCCCAGCCTGACACCCGTGAAGGGTCTGTGCTGGGGAGGATTAATAAAAGAGGAAAGCCTCTTGCAGTTGAGATAGAGGAAGGCCACTGTCTCCTGCCTACTCTTGGGAATGGAATGTTTCGGTATAAAACCCGATTGTACATTTGTTCAATGCTGAGATAGGAGAAAAACCACCCTATGGCAGGAGGTGAGACATGTTGGCAGCAACGCTGCTCTGTTACTCTTTACTCTACTGGGATGTTTGGGTGGAGAAAAGCATAAATCTGGCCTACGTGCATGTCCAGGCATAGTACCTTCCCTTGAACTTATTTGTGACACAGATTCCTTTGCTCACATGTTTTCTTGCTGACCTTCTCCCCACTATCACTCTGCTCTCCTGCCGCATTCCTCCTGCTGAGATACTGAAAATAGTAATTAATAAATACTGAGGGAAGTCAGAGACCGGTGCCAGTGCAGGTCCTTGGTATGCTGAGCGCCAGTCCCCTGGGCCCACTTTTCTTTCTCTATACTTTGTCTCTGTGTCTTATTTCTTTTCTCAGTCTCTTGTCCCACTTGAGGAGAAATACCCATAGGTGTGGAAGGGCTGGCCCCCTTCATACCTAAAAGTGGTGATTTAATAGAATAATAGATTTGAGATTTTCATTTCAATTTTTAAATGTTTCATTATATTTAATGGTAATTTTAAGTGTTCATGCCAATCTGTTCATGCCAATCTGTTCTATCATAGACCAGAAGGCTCAAGATCCTCTGTGTGACACAACCTTAATGAAAGAGAATAAGGAAATAGAGACAGGAAGAAGCAGCAGCAGGAGGAGGAAGATCCACATCCATTTTCCTAAGGAGAGAGGGTTGGAAGAGGAAAACAGAGAGAACACGTTCCTCTGCTATAAATGGGTAACATGGTTACTTCATTATAAAAGCATCCAGAGTAGGTTTGGGCAGGGCATGTGGTTTCTCCCAAATCCCAGTGAGGGATGATCTTATCAAATCTTCTCAGGGAGTGACTTCAATCAGGAAATGTGAATATCCAGCTTTCTTTAGTGGCAGGAAGTTTATTATGGGGCTGGTTTCTAGGAGTGTTGGAAAATTACAGTCACCAAGGTGCCTTTAACAGATTATAGGACTATCAACATCAAACACTCACCTTTCGTTGGCCAAGAAACTTACCATTTTTCTTAAAGATATGTTCTCGCATAGGGGTCACGGGGCGGTTCCCAAAGTTTTGGTCCATGTGGATAAGGGCTTCTTTGATTAAGGGCAAGCCAGTAATAAGAACTGCAGATATGTCACCAAGCTCCAAGCTAAAAAGGTTCCCATATTTCTTCACAAACTGAAAAATAGTTAAATCGTAACAGTTGAATATGCACATGTCCATGTGTTCAGAAATGGAGGATGTGTGTAGCTGGAGGGGATCATATTGAGAGGAGTGCGTGTGTCTGTGTCTGTGTGTGTACGTGTGTGTGTGTGTGTGTGTGAGTGAGTGTACATTGGTCTCATGGGAATGCTTTTATTTCCTTTTCTCCTTCTCTCAACAAGGCTCAGATTCAATTCACTTCAGAATGTGAATGTTTCTTTATAAATATCTATTTATGTATTCAACCAACATGAACTGAGTGAGCATCTATCATGTGTCCCTAGAGCAAGGCATGAGGATAAAACTGTAATAAAATAAATAAGTTCTGGCCATGTGCAGTGGCTTACGCCTGTAATCCCAACACGTTGGGGGGCCGAGGTAGGCAAATTGCTTGAGCCAAGGAGTTCGAGACCAGTCTGGGCAACATAGTGAGACCCTGTCTTTACAAAAAAATAAAAATTAGCTGGGTATGGTGGTACATGCCTGTGGACCCAGCTACTCAGGAGGCTGAGGTGGGAAGGTCACTTGAGCCTGAGAGTTTGAGCCTGCAATGAGCCATGATCGTGCCATGGCACTCCAACTTGGGTGACAGAGTGAAAGCCTGTCTCAATATATAGACATAGTAAACAAGATTTCTAACCCCAAGCATCCTAGAGTCTAGTGAATAGAGAGAATTCAGCACATCTGAATTCTCACCTGAACACTAATCATGTCTCAGCCACTTAAGAAGGCTGAGACATGATTAGTGTTAATCTGGTGTACCAAGTATGGACTTCTTAGTAAATCATAACTATCTGTTTAACCAAATGAGAATGCCCCCTTCCTAGACTGGGCATAGATAATAGAAACGTATGCTAGATAATACGAGGTGCATTTTAGGGCAGGTGCCAGGCATGGAGGAAAGCCCTCGAGCTCTGGAGTTATGTGACAATCTGGGCTGTATAGTTCAATCGTTTTCGGCTCTTGCGGAAGTTGCTTTATTTTTTGAGCCTCAACTCCCCAGCTATAAAAGGGAGAAAATTATTCCTCTCTCTTAAGGTTCTGTGAGGAAGAATGAGAGCAGCAATGTGAAAGGCACTTTGTTTTCTTGTTCCAGGCGCACAGCCACCCAGCGAGTCTCCGAGGAATGAAAGAGCTCTGTGTGCAGAGGGCCGTGGATGCATTCTTATGGTGGCAAAGGGGACAGGAACCCACTGGTGTGTGGGAAGAAGGCACTCATGGTCATAGGCAGCCATTGCTAAGCACCTTTCATATTTTATCTCATTAATCTCACAACCACCTTACAGTAGTAATAGTTCTTATCTTTCAAGACAGAAAATGAATTATAGCTGAAACAACACAGCAAAGGTGACAAAGCTATTGAGTGGTGCAGGGAATTTCCCAGGCATTATGTAAGATTTGAGGACAAAGACGTGAGCCCAAGATGGCTCCAGAACCTGAGTGACAGAGTTTAGTGGGAGTGACAGAGTGAAAGTAAGAATGAGTGAGAGTGAGAGAGTTGGGGTGGGAGAGAGGGAGAATGGGGATGTGTATGTTCATGAATGTGCACAAGTGTGCAAATATCTGCAAATGTAGGTTGGAGGACAGTGTATGGTCACGAATCAAAATCCTTCCTAATGTATCTGTTCAACAGAGGGTCCCAGGTAGACCCTGCCCCTGCCTTTTTTCTGCCTGGGTTGTGTCTAGCTGCAGGCAGTGGTAACAATCCGAAGGGCTTCATTTCCTTTAGGTGTTTGTGGCCTCTTCTCCACAATCCAGATGCCTTTGCACTTACACTCCACCATATTCCTCTTAGAGTCCTGTTCCTAATGGTCCCCATCGGAGCAAATACAGTGGATTCAGTCTTATCCCACCACCTTGCTCCCACATTAAAGTCCAAGCCTGAACTCAGTCCTTGTATTCTTTTGGCCCAGAGTCCTCCATCAGTCCTTATCTCCTACACAGCATGTCCTGTCTTGCTAGGAAAAGCAGAGCTGAGATTCAATCTCAAGTCAGTTTGCTCCTAAAGTAAGCATCTTTGCTTCTAAGAAATGGCAGTAATGGGACCATACACATTAAGCAATTTTTTTAATGTACCCTTGCTGAATTCCTGGATGAACTTCTTAGGCCTGACAAGAAGGATTTCTTGACTAATTTAGGACATTAAATAAGGATGTTTTTGGAAGAGCTGAAAAATCTCAGGTTAAAAATGACTTCTAACTAGCAAAGTATACAGCCTAGAATCTTAGCTTGTACTTGGGAGGGATTCAGAACTCCATTACTATTTACTGAAATAAACTTCCTAAGAATTTTATCTCTACCAACTCTCTGCCACTGCATATTTCGAATTAAACAGAACTAGATAAAAAACTTGTATGGTATTATCAACTGTTTAAACACGGGGTAGGAGCCCTGGGATGAGGATGGCGATGTCTAACAATTCTTACGTGCACCCTGTCAGTCATTTTATCCATTTCTTTAGAAAGATTAAATGACCCAGAGGGCCTCTGAGAAGACTTTGTAAGGCAGGGCACACTTTTCAATTGTATATCATTAAATGAGCCACGAAAAAAAAAAAACCTTAACAGAATAAAACAAAAGGAGATAAAAATAAGATGCCTTTTGAAAGGCAAAAACAGTCTTAAAATCAGAAATGAAAATAGAAAAAGAAAAGAACTGAAACAGAATCTATAAAAGTCAAACAAAAGCAATAGGAGACAGGAAATGTAATGCTAGGAATAAAAATTCCAAATGTAGCATAAGCATTTAAAAAAGGGTGGAACAAAATAAATGTTTACAGTAAAGAGGAAGAAGTAAAGGATTAGTGGGAGAAGAGACTGAACTATTGAACCATGGCTACCAAGAGATATAAAGTTTACAGAGATTCCACTGAATCTAAGTTCTTAAATTTAATAACCAACAGAACAAAGACATGAAAAGAGGAAAAGAAAAACAGAAAAAGAGTGTACTAATTCACACTCCTACCAGCAGTAGGTCAGAGGGTCTGTTCCCCTGAGCTGTGCCTCTGTGAGTGTGTGTGACAGCGAGAGAGAGAGAGAGATCCTAAGAGGCACAAAAATGCATGCTGTTTCTATATTTCTCTGAGGTTTAACATCTGTCCCTCAATCTGGATGTTGTATTTTTAAAGTCGTATGTTTATGTCTTTCAAACATTTCTGTATCAAGGTATTCAACTTTTTTCTCATTGATAACGTGGAATTTCTAATAAAAAGTTGGAAATATAATTTTATTTTCACTTACATACAAATCTGGAAAGATATCCACCAAGGTCCTATAGAGGTACCGCTGAGTGTATGTGTGTGTGTGCACATGTGCACGTGTGCACGCATGCACAGTGGTGGCAGGATAGGCACAAAGACAGGTAAGATTCTCTCTCTCCTTAAACTGTATTTTAATATGTTGTCTCACTGTGTATGTATTGTTGCCTTTACAGTCAAAAAGCTTTTTTATCCAATAAAGAAAAAAAAATAAACAAGGAAATGGGAAATAAAGCTTTAAAACAGTGGTTCTTTACTTTTTTGAGTTATAGAATCCTTTGAAAATATAATGTATATGATAGACCTGATCTCTAGTAAACACATACACAGCTATACACATAAAGAGCTTTGCATGCAGTTTCAGGAGTTACCAGTCCTCTGGGGCCCATGAACTCCTTCCAAGAATAATGGTCTCACAGGTAGTTCTTGGGGCTGCGCTGGTTTCTGAGAACAGGCTGTGGAGATTAAATTCATGTTCAATTTAACAGGCTTTTATGAGATGCTTAAGAGTTGCCAGGCACCTTCTGGCACTGGCATATCATACATGGAGGTAATACAAAGATCAATATGATATGATGTGTTCCTAAAGTGTCAAAGTCTCTTGGGAGAGACTGACTGTGCAGAAAAAAAATGGAATGCACAGCAGATGACATGTGTTATTATGCTGATAGAGAGGGACATAAAGCTATCGCAAGAAGAGATGATTTTCCACCACAGATATAAGAAAAATATCTTTTTAAAGAGTAGATGGTATCTGAGCCAGATCTTAAATGAAAGTCAGGATGCCACCAAAAAACAGACAAACAAAAACCAACAACCCCCAAACCACAATGATAATAAAAAACATGTAGTAAGAAATCAAAGGCATTCTAGATGGTGAGAACACCATATACAGATGTAAAGGGGAAATGCAGAAGGTGTTTGGGAGCAAGAGAGCTACCTTGTCTGACTGAAGCATAGGGTTCATTATTTAAAGAGCACTGACCATGTGGCAGGTCAATGCCAGGTGCTGGGGAGTGCAACAAGTCCTTCACTTCAAGAAGCTAACAATCTAATGGAGCATATAGATAAATAATCACTTCTCATTATTATCATTCTTTACAATAAAATATTTGATGGGAGGAAGTTAAGAACCACATAAGAGGACCAGGGTTGAGGAAGGCTCCTGGGAAAAGCATCTTCTCAGTTGATAAGGGAGATGGGAGACAAGGCTGACAAGGTAATCTGAGCTAGGCTGAGGAGAGTCTTAATATCAGGTATAATATTTTGGATCTTGTTTGGTTTTCAATCAGAATTCTAAGATGTTTGAGTAGGGGAGGTGATGTAAGGGAGTGCTTAAGAGTTTGGATTTTGAAATTATACAAACTTGTTTGAATCCAGGTTCTGCTTCTTAGTTTCTGTGTGATTTGGGAGAAAGTTATTTAACTTTTCTCTGTCTTAGTTTCCAAATTTTATAGACTTTATTAGTTCCCATGTTTAGTATTGTTGTGATAAGTAATCATAATACTAAAATTAATAATAAAATTATTATGGCTCAGACCATTTTCCCCTATTAAAAATCTTCTGTCCCTTTACTCCATTTAGCCACTTGCCAAAAATCAAAATTTCCTTTAAAATTTAGCCCAATTTCTTCCAACATTCTACAAAAGGTTATCCCCAGGGTTTCCATTCAGTGATCCAATCTCCTTATATCTCATTTGGTTACCAAGAGTGTACAGTATACATTTAGTCATATACAGCCTTGTATTTTGCCTGGCATATGATAAGCACTTAATAAATGTCTGTTGAGTGAATAAACATGTGAGTACATCAATTGTCCTCTAACCATGTCATGAAAAGTCAGGCAACATAAAGTAGATAATGGGTATATGTAGGGAGACCCCCTGAAACTATTGTTACGGAATAAAAGATGAAATGCTCCTGATTATTGTAAATGCAAAATTGCATGCAGGATTGTGTAAAGACAATGCCAGGTTGGGCTGCCAGAATGAGCCAACAGTGCCTGATGTGCTTCCCCCTGTAGAGAGCCTATAAATGGACATGCAGTCAGGGAGGTTTCACATCACCAAGATTCCTATCCCAGAAAAGCAGATGATCATAGCTCTGGGAATGGAATGCAACCCTTGTGGAGAGCCTATAAATGGACCCATGAGGGGCACCTGTTCACATGGATAAGATAGGGTTATAAACGCCCTTATCTTGCCACGGCTCTTCTAGGTCTCTTTAGGGTTAAGGCATACTCCCTTCTGAGAATTTTTGGTCTAACCGGTTGTCTAGCAAAAGCTGGTTGCAAACAATCAGTAGAAACAGGACGTGAAGCTAGACAACCGGTTAGACCAAAAATTCTCAGGAGTATGCCTTAATCCTAAAGAGACCTAGAAGAGCCATGGCAAGATTAACCATGCTGATTAATATCTTGCTAATCATAGGTTATGGATAGACTGTGTTTCTGTTCTAAGGCTCTGTTAGAAATTGCTGATGCACACACTATATTGTAAATTCTTATCTCTGTATACTGTACTTCTGCATACTGATGTTAAAGAATTACTTCATCCCCATGTGACCATCTCACCTCATAATCAAACAACCCTAAATCCCTCACTAACCTACCCCCATCCTCACTAAACTTAATAATAAATGCTGGTATATCCAGCGCACTGGCGGCATCGCAGGTCCAGAAGGTCGTGACCCCCCTGGACCCAGCTTTCACTATCTTGTGTGTATCTTTTATTTCTCGACCTGCCGATCCACCTGGGAACAAAGAAAGAGCCCTGTTGCACTGCAGGCTGCTGGCCAGATCCCACAATAGGTATACAAATCAAATAGTCTCGGGCTCAAATCCTTATTTGTTATTATTTAGCTGAATAACCCGGGCAGTTCACTGTTCGTTCTCAGTCATTTTGCTCCATGGTAAAATGGAAGCACCACCAGATCATACCTAACTTGTGTGCCCATCATGAAGATGAAATGAAAACTGACATAAAAATACTTATGTAAGATCTATTAGTTAGTACTTAATGTTTCCCAATTGCAAGAATGTAAATTTAATTATAACTAAATTTCATAATTTAACTCCATTTGTTTTACACCCAGAAACATAAAAATGCAAACCTATATAAAATAAAAATAAATGATGACAGTGTGATAAGAAAATCACAGGGCCAAGGATGAGATCCCAGTCTCAGTTTTGTCACTGGCTAGTTTTGTGACATTAGGCAAGTCATTTAACCCCTCTTTTAACACCTATCTTAGGAATACAACAAAGGTGCAGATCAAGCTTCTTATTCCAGATAAGGTTGAAAAAAAGCATTCCATTTTACTTCTATTAATCATGACACCAATTAACACAGACAAAAATATCTTTAAGAAAAGTCTACTCTCTCTAGCCAAAGGACCAGGAAAAGGAAAACCCAACAGGACAGAAACCATTTAGCCTTTTTACTTCTTTGTTGTGGAGGCAAATACCATGAAAAACATTTGACCCTTCCCAACTCTAAAAGGTCCTATAGCACTGGAGTACATGGATAGTACCTTGTCTTTCAGCCTACTTTGCAATAATGAGGTAGTACCCTTCTCTGCTGAGTCTGTGAGCTGAATTGCGACTTCTATTCCTAAGCTGAAGTAAAGAAACTCCCTGCAGGAGTCAGAGGGCAAATTAGGCTTTCCAGCCTTCTTCTACAGTAATAAGGAGGTGCACTTCCCCTTGGAGGAGATATAGGCAGATCTCTGACTCTCTTCCCTCCGTAGTAAAGCATAAGCTACTATGCCAGAGGGATCCCTGTCTTCTGTTCCATCTTCCTTTTCCCCAGCTTGCACTGATGAGAATGTGAGATGGGCTCCTGTGGGAGTGGGTAATAAAAGTGGAGTAGACCAGAATAGCACTGCAGAGGCTTTATAACCTGCATTGATATTTGAACTGCCACCCACAAAAGTGAGCATTCAGAATCTAAATAGGCTATATGCTAAAATAAAAGATCTGTATAGTATCCAGGGTAAGTCTTATAACAAATATATAAAATGTCCAGGATATAGTCCATAATTACTCACCTTACCAAGAATCAAGAGAACATCAATTGAGTGAGTTGACACCAACAGTGAGATGACACAGATGTTAGAAATATAGAATAATTAAATATTTAAAAGCAGCTGTTATAAAGCTTTTCCAATAACTATGAATAGTCTCAAAACAAACAAAAAATTAGGACATTTTAACAAAGAAATAAAAGATAAAGAAGAACCAAGTGAAAGTTTTAGAACTGAAAATACAATAGAATAAATTTTAAAATTCAGTAAAATAGCTCAATAGCAGAATGGTAATGATAGCAGAATCTGTGAATTTGAAGACAGCTCAGAAGAACATATTCAAACTAAACAACACAGAGAAACTACATTGGAAACAACAAAAACAGAGTTTCAAGAACTCGTGGCACAACAAGAGACCTAACATTTGTGCCATCAGTATCCAAGAGTCCAAGAAAGAGAGGAAAAAGAATGTGTAGTTGAAAAATATTTGAAGAAAGAGTGGCAGAAGCTCCCTCAAACTGGCAAAAGAGAAATCTATATTTTCAGAAACCCAAACAGGATAAACCCAAAGAAAGTAGCACCAAGATCTATCATAACTAAACCTCTGAAAATTAAACAAAAACAAAAACAAAGAAAATTTCTTGAAGGAAGGCAGTGAGAAAAAGTTCATTACATATGGGGGATAACAATTCAGATGACAGTAGATTTCTTAACAGAAACCACAGAGGCCAAAAAGAAGAAGCATAAACTTTTAAAATGTTGAATGAAAGGAATTGTCAACCTAGAATTCTATGTCCAGTGTAAATATACTTCAGAAATGAAGGTGAAATAAATACATTCTTAGATGAAGGAAAGCTAAGAGAATTTCTTGCCAGTACACCTGCACTAAAAGAATATCTAAAGATAGTTCTTCAGATCTGAAAGGATATGATAAGCTTGTAACATCAGAAATGAAAAAAGATAAATGAAAAGGGTAAATAAATGAGTAAATACAATAGACTATTATTCTCTTGAGTTTTCAAAATTGCATTTAACATTCAAAAGCAAAATTATAATATTATCTGATGTAGTTCTCAATGTATATAGAGATAACACTTACAACAATTATGAAGTAGAGAGGGTAAAGGAACCTAAATGGTTGCAAGATATCTATATTTCACTTGAGGTAGTAAAATTTTTACACTAATAGACTGCAATCAGCTACATCTGCATATCGTAATCCTTAGAGCAATCACTTGTAAAACATAATACAAACAGAGCTGCTAAAAAACACCTCAGATAAATAAGAATAAAATTATTTTTAATATGTTCAAGTAATTCACAGGAAGATAGGAAAAGGAAAACAGAGGCATAAAAAACAGGAAAAACAAAATAAATAATAAAATGGTAGACAAATCTTAATATGTCAATAATTACATTAAATATAAATAGTCTACATTCACCAATTAAAAGACAGAGATTGCCAGAATGAAAAAAAAGACCCAAGTATATGCTGCCTTCAAGAAACTAATTTCAAGTATAATAATACAAGAAGGTTAAAAGTTAAAGAATAGAAATGCATATACCATGCACATACTAATCAGAAAAAAAGTTGTGGCTATATTATATCAGATAAAGTACAGTTTAGGCAAATAAAATTATGAAGAATTAAGAGGGACATTACAGGATAAAAGGATCAATTCACTAAGAAGACATGATAATCTTAAATGTGTATGTGCAAAACAACAGAGTTTCTAAATACATGAAGGAAAAACTACTAGAACTGAATGGAGAAATAGATACTCTCAACTGTCCTTTGAAACTTCAACATTCTTCTTTCAGTAATTGATAGAATAAGTAGATAACAAGTCAACAAGGATATAGGCAAACCAAACAATATCATTACCCAGTAAAATCAAATTGATATTGATATCAATTACTTCACCCAACAATAATTTATATCAATTATTCCACCCAACAATAGTCAAATACATATTTTTTCCAGCCTCCATGGCACATTTATCAAGATAGACTATATCTTGTGTCATTTAATCAACCTTAACATATTTAAAAGAACTGAAATTGTACATAGTATGATGTTTGACCACAATGGAGTCAAACTGGAAATAATTAACAGAAATGATAACAAGAAAATCTCCACATACTTGGAAATTAAACAACATATTAATTAAATAAGGACACAGGTTTGGGGGCTTAGTTTTAACATTCTGTGGCTAATTCTGTCACTTAGTATTACCAATTGGGTATTTCTCCCATAAAGTGATAAAACTTTGTCTATCAATATTTGAGGGCAATATACAGCCATGTGTTTAAAGTACTGCAGGCATGTGCAGGGAAAGGGGAACTACTATTTGTTATGTACCAACTATATGTCAGTATTGACCATTCACTATTTTATCTAATCTTCATAATCACTTGTCACACTGTTGTCTCTCAGCAAGTTACCTGTGCTGAGTGGCAGGAAAACCAGTATTGGTTTCTTGAGATAGGGTTTGATGTCTGAGAGAACTTGAAAGAACTTGGTCACCAGAGTCGGGGAGCCCTGATAGGAGATTATTGTATAGAGACGGAAAGAAGCTGCATCAAGAAGGGTCCCAGGTGGTTCAGTCAGGAGTCTGAACACCGTTTGGCAAAAATTTAAGCAGAGGAAGAACATTTTAAAATTATTACTTAGTGAGAGTGCACTGCAAGGGAAGGAGGTTGAAGCTGGAGGGCTCAGTTAGTGTAGTGGGAATAACTCAGTTGAGAAATGATCAAGATTGAGGTAGTATTATCACCATTTTATGTATGGGAAATGAAGTTTCTCAGAAAGAAAGTATAGCATTTTTAAGGACAATCATATAAAAGAGGGCAAGGTAATCACATTACAAGTAAGGTGTTCCAGTAATGTTTAACATGACAACATGCAAATAGTAAACATTTAATAATATTCCATCCCTAGAAAGTGCAGGTGGAATCATGCCAGTTAATGGGTTAGGAAATGAAACTCAAAGTGGGTTTTACCAGGTTACCAGCGTTAGCCACACCTCTTCCTGCCCTTCATCCCCCACCCCACCCACGTTGCCGGAACGTCCCTTGTGCTGCAGAACAGAGTTAGGGTCAGGACACGCTAGGCACCTTCTCCCACTCCTACCAGCTGAACCTCCAGGTGCGACTGCTCGAAGTCCACAAGGAAGAAGTTGCCAAGGAAGGGCAGGCGCCAGGGCCCCGGCGGGTAGTTCTTTGGGCGCCGTCTTTTGAGAAAGTCAGCAGCGAGCAGAAAGGCGACAGTGCCCAGTAGGAGAGTCCGAGGATGGACCACTGCCCAGAGGGCAGCCGCCAGAGAGCCCATCGCCGCGAGCATGGCTCAGACGTCCTCCTGCTCTTCTGCGGTCCAAGCAGGCGGCGGTCCCAGCAGGCGACGGTCCCCGCCCCGCCTCGCTCCCAGCCGTGCCCCGCCTCCCAGCCCGCCCCTTCGCAGCACCCTGCGAAGATGCCAGGCGCTGGATTCCCGGGAGGACACGCACCGGTCTCAGAAAAGGCCAGGCTAGGAGCAGTTTCTTTTCTATTTAGAAAGCTCATGGGTTTACTGAGAGCGCCACAGACATTTGAGCCTCTGTTCGGTTCAATCACCGTCTCTCCTATGATTGGAACTGTGCCTGGTAAACAGCGATAACAACAGCAGTACCTAACATTTCTTGGGCTCTTACTATATGCCAGGCAGCACATCCGCCTCTTTACATAGATTATTATTTCATTTTGACAAAATTATGAAGGAGAAGCTCTCGGTAGTCTCATCTTGCTGTTGAGGAAACAGAAAAGTTAAGTACTAAGTATGTGGTGAACAAATAAATCCACCCTTCTGAAACACATCTAAACGAGGTCCTGTATTTGAAAGTGTCTGGAAGATTAAAAGGCACTACACCAAAGCTGCTAGCACTGAGCAGCAGCCATAATAAGTGCTTAATTAACATTTGTTGAAGGAATGTCTTAGTTCCGATCCTTGCTGGTTTGCTCTATTAGGCTCCTCTCCAAAGCCCCAAGACTGTGGGACCTCCAGGTTCCAGCCTTTCATACCATCTGGTGAGTGCCTGCTTGGGTTTCACAAATGGTGAGACTGAAAACATGAAACATAGCTCAGGAATAGTATAGTACACACTCATGTACTCAACATAGAGTCACATATTCTGCTTACAATATTTTATTTTATTTCTTTATTTTTGAGACAGAGTCTTGCTCTGTCGCCCAGGCTGGAGTTCAGCTCACTGCAACCTCCACCTCCCGGGTTCAAGCGATTCTTCTGCTTCAGCCTCCCATGTAGCTGGGACTACAGGCACATGCCACCATGCCCGGCTAATTTTTGTATTTTTGGTACAGATGGGGTTTCGCCGTGTTGGTCAGGCTGGTCTCAATCTCCTGACCATAGGTGATCTGCCCACCTCAGCCACCTAAAGTGCTAGGATTACAGGTGTGAGCAAGAAATGAAATGAGAGTTGAAGTCTCTTGTTCTCTTTCTAAGGTCCAGAGAGAAATACTAGTCAGAGCTTAGCTTTTATCCTTCTAGTCCACATTTTCCTGTTTTACTACAGCTGTTATGCATCCATACAATATTTCTAATATTTATATATGATATTTTTACACGAATTATTCTACAACTCAGTATTATGTGTTTGAGATTTATCCTGACTGATATATGTGGCTCTAATTCACTTAATTTAATAGATGGATAGTATTCTATTACTATGCCACAATTTATTTGCTCATTCCCGTATCAGTGGACGTCAGGTTTGTTATATCTCTCCTTCCTTTTTATTTTTTGCATTAAAGAATGATGCAGGGGAATGACTTCCATAATGGCAGCATGAGAAACCCCACAGAACCTCTTCCTAGTAAAAAATTGTGATTGCTAAAAATTATTTATAAAACTAAAATAATTTAAGTCCCTGAAAATTGTTCTAAAGGCATACAGTAAATAAATAAATTTTATTTAAGAAGAATCTACTAAATGCTAGTAAACACAGTAAGAGTCTGTGGCATTTGAGCCATAACTCACTCTTTCTCCTAGTCCCCAGATCAACGTGACAGAAACCCCATTCTAGACAGTTAAATCCAAGAACACTTTCCCTAGCTCTCAAATGAAGGCTACAGTATCTCCCTGAGATGGAAAAACTGCCAGCATTTCTTATACCCAGCCCCCAGAATGTCATGTTGCAGAAGCTCTATTCTAGGCAAGACTGGCTAAGAGGTCTAGGGATATCCTCCTCCATCCAGCCCTGACTTGTAAGGCAGAAATAATACCTACCCCGGGCCATAATTGCCCTCATCCCAGCTTTCTCATGAGATAGAGGTTCCACACTGGGAGAGGTTAGCCACAAACACCAGAGATGAATGCCTGAAACAATAGAGATTTTGGTGGTAAGCAATTAATAGGAGGCTGGTAATTCTATGAGAACAAGAGGATAAACCATAGGCTAACTAGAAGTTTACCAAAGTCGGTCAGCACAAGAGTTAGCTAGGAAGAACCCTCTTGGGACCAGAACAAATCTCAAAGTCTGGCCTCAAAGACTATTCCTGAGAAGAAGCCCAAATTTAATTGCATCAAATTTTGAAGTAATGTATGCCCCAAGGCATTGTTGAAAACAGTAGAGCAATCAGCTGGAAGTCAGCAGAGACTGTGTGTAATACCAACAGGGGCAGACAGTTTTAAATACAGAACAGAGAAAAAGTCAAAGACAGCCCTGCTAAAACCAATGTCGTTGTATTGTGACTGTGTGTACACCCAAGTCCATGCCCTCAGGTAAGTGATGTCAGAGGCTTTACACTGTGGGGAAAATATGTTTCACTAAATTAGTCAGTCCTGTCAAGTCAGTAAACAAATGAAATTACAAACAAAAAGAATTGGGAGAGAAGAGCAGATCATTAGCCATAATTGCCATAATATATTATCTAAAATGTACAGTTTTCACCAAAAAATGATAAGACATGCAAAGAAGCAGGAAAGTGTGACCCAGCACAGGAAAGAAAGTAGGCAACTGAAACTGCCTGTGAGAGAGCCAGATGTCAAACGTAGCAAAGACTGTAAAGCAACTTAATTATAAATATGTCCAAAGAACTAAACAAAATCATGGTGAAGAAAGTAAAGTAAGGTATGAGACAATGTCTCAACAGATAGAGGATATCAATAATGAGATAGAAATTATAAAAAAGTGGAATTTTGAATTGAAAATTGCAATAACTGAAATTTTAAAAATCACTATAGGGGATCAACAGTAGATGTAAAGTAGAAGAGGAAAGAATCAGTGAACTGTAAGATAGCTTGATATAGATTATGCAACATAGAAAACAGAGACAGAAAAAAAGAACAAACAATCTCAGAGAAATGTGGGACATCACTAAACACACCAGCATATATGTAATCAGAATACCATAGAATACAATGGCGAGAAAAGAGCAGAAACATATTTGAAGAAATAATAGCTGTAAAATTTCCAAAATTTCACGAAAAGCATTAATCCATGTATCCAAAAATTTCAGTGAGCTCCAAGTAGGATAAATGCAAAGGAATCCACACTCAAATACATCATAGTAAAAATACTGAAAGACAAAGACAAAGAGGAAATCCTGCAAGCAGCATGAGAGAAATAGTTCATTCAGTAAGTTGGAACTCCAAAAAGATTAACGGCCGACTTGTAATTAGAGAAAACGGAGACCAAAAGGCAGTAGGATGATATATTCTAAGTGCTAAAAGAAAAGAAAAAAACTCAGAAAACTGTTAACCCACTTGAGTTGTGTCCACCTGTTGGTTTTTGTGAATACTGCTGCTACAAATGAGGGTGTGTAAATATCTCTGAGATTCTGCTTTCAATTCTTTTGGGTGTGTTCCCAGAGACAGAGTTGCTGGATCATATGGTAGTTCTATTTCTTAATATTTGTAGGAACTACCATGCTGTTTTTCATAGTGATTACACCATTTTGCATTCCTAGAAGCTGTGCCCAAGATTTTCAATATCTCCACCACTTCATCTGTATTTGTTATCTTCTGTTATACTATTCATCCTAATATGTGTAAAGTAGCATCTTATTGTGATTTTGATCTTAATTTCCCTAATAATTAGTGATGCTAAGTATATTTTCATGTTCTGGTTGTTCATTTATATATCTTCTTTGGAAAAATGTGTATTCAGGTTCTTTGCCAATTTTTAATTGGGCTGTTTAATTTTTTACTGTTTAATTATGGGAGTTATTTATGTATTCTGTATATTAATCTTATCAAATATATGATTTGTGAATGTTTTCTCCCTAAAAAAAAGTGTCAGCCAAGAATCTTATATGAAGCAGATGGTTTATTTTTTTTTAAATGAAGGAAAAAACAGCTATCTCCAGATTAAAAAAATACAACAAATGAGAGAATTTATTGCTAGCAGACTTTAACAAATACTTAAGAATGTCCTTAGATTGAAAGAAAATGACCCTAGGCAGTAATTAGACACTACGTGGAAACACAAATTGCAAAGTTCATTATGCAATCATAAAAGATGGCATAAATGCGTATTTCTTCTCCTTTCTCCTTTTAACTGCTATACAAAGTATTTGTAAATATGTCTGGTTTCCAGTCCAGTGTGAATGGAGCTTGGAAGTCATCACTCCTGTCTTCGCAACAAGAAAAAAGCTGAACAAACAGAAAGTTAACAACTCTTCTTAGATTGATAAGAAAAGTAAGATAACAGGGCAAACTTTTACTCCTAAAATTAGAGACACACAATCCGGGTAAATGCAAACAATCACAGGTTAATGGATCAGAGCCTAGGGAGCAGAAACCACCAGTACCACAGTAGGAAAATTTAAACTTTAAATTCAAAATTGAAATTTTATATTTAAGCTGTAATTGACAAATTGCTAGATGCTCAGTGTGAATAAGATTCAGAGTTTAGAAATTCTGGGGAGCCTAGTCTTAGAGGGACCCCATATTATCATTAGTTTTTCCTCTGGGAGCCCAACCAAGTTCTCAGCATTGTATTAACCAGTCCCCCAAATCATTGAGTTGATATTTAAAAAAGGAAGAAGAAAAAAAGTTTGACATTGTGTACATTTTTTTTAAATTAAAGCACACACATGGAAAAATACAAGTGAAACTGAGTAGAACATATATAACATATTGTCTTAGTATTACTAGTGGGCAGAATAACAGAGAGAAATTATCAGATTATTCCCTTTATTGGTCCTTATGCCACCCACATTTCTGAATAAACCAATAACCCATTAATCAATCATTACTTGTGATTACAACTAAGAAGTTATATTTTCAGCATTAAAAACTGTTGAAAACCTGTTTATCCAAAAAAGTGAACTCTATACATATTAACATAAAATCTAGCTAGAATACTTCTAGGTATTAAATTATATACCAAAAATTTAAAGGAAATTTGAGATAAAAAAGTAAGGCGTATTTCCCAAGCAACAATGATAATTTCTTATTTTGCAAATTTCTTATTTCAGAAATCAGGATAATTTGAGATTTAAAAATTTCTATTAGTGATCTTACATCTTCTTCCACAACATAGATACATTGTTTGACAACTAGAAGCCATAAATGTTTTTTGAATGCTTTAAGGATTTAGTTTAAACATTAATTGATGTGGTGTATTATTTTTACTAAGTAGTAACTTGGTCATCATAACTTTTATGTTTGCTTAGGATTTATTTTTTATTATATAAAAGTTGAAGTTATTTCTGTCATAACTGTAAGCAAATTTAACCTAAGTGTGTGAAAAGTATTCTGAGGTACTCTGTATATTTTTAACGTCCTGAAAGTCTGAAGGCTAATCTATACAGGTATGTTTTAGGATATTCCATAGGAAAAAAATCATTACTTTTACTATCAACCTTTGAGATTTCATGAAGATTTTATTGAGGAGTAATAATACATGCTATAAGCATTGACAAAACTCTGAAAGTTTTTTTCTATAAGATATAAAATAATATCTAAATTGAGTCAGCCATAGGAGATTCAATTTAGAGTGTTTTGTGTTTTATATTCATCTAATAATGTTCAAATTGCAACTATAACATTTCAATATTTGTCAACATGCTTTTATAAAAGTAAGTTCTAAGTTTCTAAGCTTCAAAAAAGTGAAGAAGTAGTAAAAAGCAAAAATTGAGGGAGTTTTTTACTAGTAGACATGCTTTACAAGAACTAGTAAAAGAAGTTCTTTAGAAAGAAGGAAAAATATTTAGGCCAGAAACTGAGATATACATACAGAAAGGAAGAATACCAGAGAAGAGATAAATGAAAGTAAGATAAATATTTTATTTTCTTATTCTATTTTTTTTTTTTTTGAGACAGAGTTTTGCTCTGTTGCCCAGGCTGGAGTGCAGTGGTGCAATCATGGCTCACTGCAGCCTCTGCCTTCCAGGTTCAAGCAATTCTTGTGCCTCAGCCCCCTGAGTAGCTGGGATTACAAGCACATGGCATTATGCTTGGCTAATTTCTGTATTTTTAGTAGAGACAGGGTTTCACCATGTTGGCCCAGCTGGTCTCGAAGTCCTGACCTCTAGTGATCTGCCCTCTTCACCCTCCCAAAGGATTTTTCTTATTCTTAATTGATTTAGCAGATAAGTTTGCTCCAAGTAAAAATAACAGCAATGTATTCAGTGATTATAGCTTATTGATAAGTGAAATGAATGATGCAATGTTACAAAGAATGCATGGAACAAATCAGAAAAATTCTATTATAAGGTACTTGCACTACCCATAAAGCAGTATAGTATTATTTGAAATGATTTCAATCAGTTGGAAATGTGTAGTGCCAACTCTAAGGCAACCTTAAACAAGTTTAATAAAAGAAATACAATTGATATGCTAAGAAAGGAAAGAAAGCAGAATCATATAAAATGCTCAATTAAAATGACACAAGGCTAAAAATGAGTGCAAGACAGAAAAGAAACAAAAACAAGAGCAATGAGTAGAAAACAGATAAGAATAGGGTAGATATTAACCCAACTACATCAATAATCATTTTAAGTGTCAATAATCTAAATACACCAATTAAAAGATATAGTCTATCAGAGTGGATTAAAAAATATCCCTTTCAGATTGTTTGTTGTTAGTGTATAGAAACACAGCTGATTTTTGCATGTTGATTTTGTATCCTAAAACTTTGCTGAATTTGCTTATTAGTTCTAACAGTTTTTTGGGGGGTGGTGTGTGGAATCTTTAGAGTTTTCTACATGTAAGATTATGTCATCTGTGAACAGAGATAATTTACTTCAGCATTAAAAAGAATAGACTTAACTAAGGAGACAAAAGATTTGTGCATTGAAAACTGCAAGACATCGCTAAAAAAAATTAAAAGACACAAATAAATGGAAAGACATCCCATGTTCATAGATTGAAAGACTTAATATTGTTAAAATGTCCATATTACCGAAATTAATTTGCAGATTTAATGTCATCCATATCAAAATCCTCTTGACTTTTCCTTTTTTGCAGAAGAAATTAAAAAATATTCTAAAATTTATATGGACCTACAAAAGACCCTGAAAAAGTGAAACAATTTTGAGAAACAAAAACAAAGCTGCAGGCACAAAACTTTCCTAATTCCAAAACATTACAAACTACAGTAACCAAATAAATCTGATACTGGCATAAAGACAGACCTAGAGACCAATGAAACAGAATAGACAGCCCAGAAACAAATCCATGCATATATGAGCAAATGGTCTTCAACAAGGATATCAATACTACATAACGGGGAAAGGACAGTCTCTTCAACAATGGTGTGGCAAAACTGTATAACCACATGTAAAAGAATGAAATTGAACCCTTATTATATAACACAGACAAAAATAAACTCAAAATGGATTAAAAACCTAAACATATGACGTGAAACCCTAAAGCTCCTAGAAGAAAACACAGGGGAAAGACTTCATAACAGTGGTCTTAGCAATGATTTGGATATAACATCAAAAGCAGAGGCAACAAAAGCAAAAACATACAAGTGAGAATATCAAACTAAAGCTTCTTCACAACAAAGGAAACAATCAATGCAGTGAAAATACATGCAAATCGTGTATCTGATAGGGGGTTGATATAAAAATATGTAAGAAATTCCTACAAATTGATAGCAAAAAATCCCCAAATAACCTGATTTTAAATGGGCAAATGACTTGAATAGATATTTTACTAAGGAAACATACAAGTGGGTGAACAGGTATATGAAATGATGCTCAATGTCACTAATCATCAAGGAAATGCAAATCACACTCATGATGAGGTATCACCTCATACATGTTAAGATAACTATTATCAAAATGTCAAAAGATAATATGGGTTGGCTAGGATATGGAGAAAATAGAATCCTTGTGCACTGTTGGTGGGAATGCAAACTGGTACAACCATTATGAAATATGGAGTTTCTTTTAAAAATTAAAAATAGGATTACCATATGACCCAGCAATCCCACATCTGGTTATATATCCAAAGGAAATGAAATCACTGTGTTGAAGAGATAACTGCATTGCTATATTCATTATCCCATTATTTATAACAGCCAAGATATAGAAACAACCTAAGTGCCTCCTGATAGATGAAGGTAAAAAGAAAATGGGATATATATATATATATATATATATACATATATATATATATATATATATATATATATATATATACACAACAGAATATTATTCAGTCTTAAAAAAGGAGGACATCCTGCCATTTTCAACAACATGGACGAATGTGGAGGACATTATGCTAAATGAAGTAAGCCAGCTACAGAAAGGCAAATACTGTATGATTTCAATTTTATGTGGAATCCAAAAAAGTCAAACTCAGTGAAACAGAGTGAAAGGGCAGTTTACTAGGGATTGCAGGTGGGGAAAGGGGAGATGTTGGTTAAAGGGTACACACCTGCAGTTATAAGACATATAAGTTTGGAGACCTAATGTACAGAATGGTGACTATAGTTAACAGTGCATTGTGTACTTGAAATTTGGTTAAGAGGGTAGATCTTAAGTATTCTCACCACACACATGCACATGCATGTAACTATATGAGGTGATGAATATGATAAGCAGCTTGATATCAGTAATCACTTCATAATGTATACCTATATCAAAGCATCACATTGTTCACCTTGAATATATACAAATTTTATTTACCAATTATATTTCAATAAAGCAGAAAAACATAAAAGATAACCCAAAAGAAAAGAAAAGAGAAATAGTTATATATCTAGCAAAACATGTAAAAATAGATATTAAGTAAACTACAAAACTCTGATGAAAGAAATCATAGGAGGTGTAAATAAGTGAAGAGATATTCCACGTACATGGGTAGAAAGACTCAATATCATCAGGATGTCAGTCTGATATCATCTTTTCAGCCTGGAAAAACTTTACTTCTTCTATGTGATGGAGTTTTGCTCTTGTCACCCAGGCTGAAGTGCAATGGCACGATCTTGGCTCACTGCAACCTCCTTCTCCCAGGTTCAAGTGATTCTTCTGCCTCAGCCTCCTGAGTAGCTGGGATTACTGGTGCCTGCCACCATGCCTGGCTAATTTTTTTGTGTTTTTAGTACAAAAAAAAGTTTGGCTAGGCTTGTCTTGAACTCCTGACCTCAGGTGATCCACCTGCCTCAGCCTCCCAAAGTGCTGGATTACAGGCGTGAGCCACTGCGTCTGGCCCAGAATATACTCTCTTACACTTGAGATGTGAATATTAATCCACCACTTACCTATGTGCTGAATGTCATAATGGGCCTTTTTACAGTAACTATTTCACTAAATTCTTAGAACAGACTTCAGATGTAGGTGCTATTGTCTTAATTTTTAAGATTAGGAAACTGAAGTTTGTGTATTTGAAATCATTTGTTCAAGTTTAAAATGCCAGTGAGTGGCAAAGCAAAAAATCAAACCCATCTGTGCTTGACAGCAGAATTTGTGTTGTTTTCCTAAACTATAAAATCAGGAGTGAATTCCTTTACCCTGCGTCACACGTGAACACCTCTGCTTAGTCTCCCAAAACTCCATAATCATGCCACACTTGCTCTTCCGCCTAGCCCTCTGATTGAATCATCAATTATTTTGAACCATGCACTTTAGCCCCAGTGACTCCACCCTTTCATCTGAATAAATATTTTTTCCCTTAAACACATGCACCTTGGATTTCCTTGGGGTGCCGTCTCTAGTCCTTCTATTAATCTAAATCCTGTTCATCTTCAATTTAGGTCCTACTTCCTCCAGGACATTAGGTATTTTTGTACCTTGCTCTATGTTGATTATTTACTTTTGTTTTTTTCCCCTGCTGTCTCTGCCTAGAATAAATATTGAAATTCTGCACAAACATCAAGGGCCAGGTCAAAGGCTCACTGTCCCACGACATGGGATCAGATATTCCCTGATGGAGTGATATCTGGAACCAGTTTTCAAAGGAATTGTTAACTGGCCAGTGAGGTGTCAAGCAGATTACATACTAACTTTAGGAATAAATGTTCAGTTATTATGGGCACATATCATAAATACAAATTGATTTCTACTCAGAGTAACTCAGGTTACTTATTGGTTTATAAAAAGCAATGAGAGTACTGAATATTAGCTCAGGCATAGGGTAAGCTGCTGTAGCAATGATCCCAAATGCATGTGATTCAAACAGGATTAAAATTTATCTCTGACAGAACATTCCAGAGATTGGCAGCTGGTCCTGCCACCAGACAGGTGGTTCTGTTCCACGAACCCTCCAGGGTTCCAGTTGCTTTCCATCTTGTTACCTCTCCATTTCCTATGATGGAGTCTTTATCCCCAAATGCATATCTGGTTCAACAGCACAACAGCCATATTCTAGTCTATTGGAAGAAAAACATTAAAATGGCAAGCATCTATTTTTTGAAAGCCATGATCTGAAAATTGTCTTCATCACTTACACTCATATCCCATTGTCCAGAATCTGGTAATAATGGCTATGGCTAGTTGGCAAGGTAGACTGGCAAATGTAGTTTCTAGCTAGCAGCCATGTGTCTATTAAAACCCAAGGCATTCTATTACTAAAAGAAAAAAAAAAAGGAAAATCGATATTTAAGGGAGTAATTAGTGTTAGCCATAGGCTGTGTGCCAAGCTCATTGGGAACTAACTTAAACACAGTTAGGAATCTTCTTCTTTGGGTTAAATCTGCTTAGCGTTCTATAATTTTCTTGTTCTATATAACCTTCTTGGATATTGATCTCTTTCTCTAGGTTTGGGGAGCTCTTTGTTATTATCCCTTTGAATAAAGTTTCTACCCCTATCTCTTTCTCTATCTCATCTTTCAGGCCAATAACTCTTAGATTTGCCCTTTTGATGCTATTTTCTAGATTCTTAGGCATGCTTTATTGTGTTTTATTCTTCGTTCTTTTGTTTCTTCTGATGTGTATTGTCAAATACCCCATCTTTGAGGTCACTAATTCTTTCTTCTGCTTGATCAACTCTGCTATTAAAAGACTCTGAAGTATTCTTCAGTATGTCAATTACATTTTTCAGCTCCAGAATTTCTGCTTGATTCTTTTTAATTATCTCTATCTTTTTGTTACATTTATCTGATGCAATTCTGAATTCCTTCTCTGCGTTATCTTGACTTTCTTTGAGTTTCCTCAAAATAACTATTTTGAATTCTCTGTGTAAAATGTCACATATCTTCATTTCTCTAGGATTGGTCCCTGGTGCCTATTTAGTTCATTTGGTGAAGGCATGTTTTCCTGGATTGTCTTCATATTTGTGGATGGTTATCTGTCTCTGGACATTGAATGAAGGGGGCCAGCCCCTCCACACCTGTGGGTATTTCTCATCAGGTGGGACGAGAGACTGATAAAAGAAATAAGACAAAGAGACAAAGTATGGAGAAAGAACAGTGGCCCCAGGGAACTGGCGCTCAGCATGCGGAGGACCTGCACTGGCACCGGTCTCTGAGTTCCCTCAGTATTTAATTACTATTTTCAGTATCTCAGCAAGAGAAATGTGGTAGGAGAGCAGGGTGATAGTGAGGAGAAGGTCAGCAAGAAAACATGTGAGCAAAGGAATCTGTGTCACAAATAAGTTCAAGGGAAGGTACTATGCCTGGATGTGCACGTAGGCCAGATTTATGCTTCTCTCCACCCAAACAACTCAGTGGAGTAAAGAGTAACAAAGCAGCATTGCTGCCAACATGTCTCGCCTCCCACCATAGGGCGGTTTTTCTCCTATCTCAGAATTGAACAAATGTACAATCGGGTTTTATACCGAGACATTCCGTTCCCAGGGGCAGGCAGGAGAAAGAGACCTTCCTCTATCTCAACTGCAGGAGGCTTTCCTCTTTTACTAATCCTCCTCAGCACAGACCATTCACGGGTGTCAGGCTGGGGGACGGTCAGGTCTTGCCCATCCCACGAGGCCATATTTCAGACTATCACATGGGGATAAACCTTGGACAATACCCGGCTTTCCAGGGCAGAGGTCCCTGCGGCTTTCCGCAGTGCATTGTGCCCCTGGTTTATCGAGACTAGAGAATGGCGATGACTTTTACCAAGCATACTGCTTGTAAACATTTTGTTAACAAAGCACATCCTGCATAGCCGTAGATCCCTTAAACCTTGATTCTATACAATGCATGTTTTTGCGAGTTCCAGGTTGGGGCAAAGAGATTGGAGCAAAGTTACAGATTAACAGCATCTCAGGGCAAAGCAATTGTTTAGGGTACAGGTCAAAATGGAATTTCTTATGTCTTCCCTTTTTACACAGACACAGTAACAGTCTGATCTCTCTTTCTTTTCCCTACAATTGAATAATTAGGTATTTATTGTAGTCTTCACAGTCTTGGCTTGTTTGTATCCGTTCTTCCTGGGAAGAATTTCCAGGTATCTGAAAAAACTTAGATGTTGTAATTGTAGCTGTATCTGCATTAGGGAGCGCCCCAAGCCCAGTAACACTGTGGTTCTTGCAGGCTCATAGAAGTAATGCCTTGATGGTCTTAGACAAGATCTCGAAGAATTCTCAGGCTTACAAGTAAAAAACTCTTGTTCTCTGCTCTTAGTTTCTCTCAAACAAATAGAGTCTCTCTCTCTCTGTTCCAAGCTGCCTAGAGTTGGGGGTGGAGTGACAAAAACACCCCTGTGGCCGCCACCACTAGGATTGCACTGGTTCAGACCTAATCTATCCCAGCACTGGATCTCACCTAAGGTCTGCTATAACCATTCCCTGGCTACCACCTATGTTTACGCAAGGCTCTGGGGCTGTAGATGTCAAAGCCAGCCAGGTTTGTGTTCTTCCCTTCAGGGGCCAAGTTCCTCTAAGCCTGGGGCAGGTCCAGAGGTACTGTTCAGGAGCCAGGGACTAAAGTCAAAAGCCTTAGAAGTCTACCTGACGTTCTATTGCACTGCACCTGGGCTGGAACTAAAACCACGAGACATAGCTCTTCCCATTTTTCCCTCCTATTTTCAAAGGCAGAAGAGCCTTATCCCATGGCCACCGCCACCACAGACCCATGGAGAGTACTGCTGGGCTACCACCAATGTTTCCTTATGGCCTGAGGGCTTTTCAGTCAGCTTGTGGTGAATGCTGCCTGGCCTGGGACTCACCTTTTAGGGCAGTGGGTTCCCTCCTGGGCCAAGGAAGGTCCAGAAGTGCCATCCAAGAGCCAAGGCCTGGAATTGCAGACTCCCAAGAGCTCACTTTGTGCTCTACCCCCTGCGGCAGAGCTGGAACTTAAGGTGCCAAAGTGCCCTTTATTTTTCCCTCACTTTTCTCAAGAAGAAGGAGTTTCTTCCCATAGCCACCACCGCTGGGAATTTGCTAAGTCTCTCCTAAAGCCAGAAAGTCGCAGAGTCTCACCCAAGGCCCACAGTTTACTACCTGTGTATTGCTGCTGGTTATAAGGGCCCAAGGACTCTTCAGTTAGCAAGTGATGACTCCTGGACTGGATCTTTCCTTTCAAGGCAGCAAGTTCCCTTCTGATGCAGGCTGTGTCTAGAAAAGTCATCTGGTAGCTAAGTCCTGGAAAGGCGGTCTCATGACTCTGACTGGTGCCCTGTCCTACTGTCTTGCATCTTGGATACCAGCCAAACTCTTAAGGGCTATTAAAATAATGGCCATTACTTTTAATGGCGAAAACTGCAATTACTTTTGCACCAAACTAATAGTACAACCTTTAGGGAAAACAGTATGGAGATTTCACAAAGAACTAAAAATAGAACTACCCTTCAATCCAGCAGTCCAACTACTGAGTGCATACTCACAGGGAAATAAATAATTATATCAAAAAGATACCTGCATTTGTATGTTTACCACTGCACTATTAGTAATAGCAAACATATGAAATCAATATATCTATTGATCTGTTAGTACAATTAGACAAGTGTCCATCAATAGATTAGTAGATAAAGAAAATGTAGTATATATACACAATGGAAAACTATTTGCCCATAAAAAATGAAATCATGTCATTTTTAGCAATATGGATGGAACTGGAAGTTATTATATTAAGTGAAATAAGCCAGGCACAGAAAGACAAATATATTCCCACTCATATGTGGGAGCTTAAAAAGTTGACGTTATGGAAGTAGACAGTAGAATGATAGTTACCAGAGTCTTGGAATGGTGTGTGTTTGGGTAAAAGGGATGAAGGAGAAAGAGAGGTAGCTTAATGGTTACAAATATACAGTTCAGTAGAAGGAATACGTTCTAATGTTGGATAGCAGAGTAAGGTAACTATAGTTAACAACAATGTACTCTGTGACAGATTGAACTCTAACACACCTTTTCCTGATTTTTGAGCACTTCAAAGTTTGAGGAGAGTGTCTTCTGCTGGCCTGGCTTAGGTTATGTGCAGTCACACACTGCAAAATGATGTTTCAGTCAGTGATGGCCTGCCTATATGACAGTGGTCCCATACAGTTATAGTGGAGCTGAAAAATTCCTATCTCCTAGTGATGTTGTAGCTATTGTAATGGCATAGTGTAACACATTACTCACATATTTGTGATAATGCTGATGTGAATGGACCTATTGTGCTGTCAGTCATATAAAAGTATAATACAAATAATTATGTACAGTACATAATGCTTGCTAATGATAAACAACTATGTTACTAGTTTATGTACTTACTACACTTTTTAATCATCACTTTAGAGTGTACTCCTTCCACTTATTGAAAAAAAGTTAACTGTAAAATAGTCCCAGGCAGGTCTTTCAGAAGGTATTCCAGAAGAAGGCACTGTTATCATAAGAGGTGCATTGTTATTGCCCTGAAGATCTTCCAGTGGGAGAAGATGTGGAGGTGGAAGACAGTGATATTGATGATTCTGACCCTGTGTAGGCCTAGGCTAATGAGTGTGCTGGTGTCTTAGTTTTTAATAAAAATGTTTTAAAAGTTTAAAAAAAATAAAAAATAGAAAAACATGTATAATGACATAAAGAAATGAAACATTTTTGTACAGCTGCACAATATGTGTTTTAAGCTGTGCTATTGAGTGAAAAGTTCAACAAATTTAAAAGTTTATAAATAAGAAAACTTACAGTAAGCTAAGATTAATTTATTATTGATGGAAAAAATTATAAAGCCTACAGTCAAGTATAGTAGTGTCCTAGGTCTTCACATTCACTCTCCACTCACACACTGACTCACCCAGAACAACGTTCAGTGTTGCAAGCGCCATTCGTGATAAGTGCCTTATACAGGGGTACCTTTTTTTATTTTTTGTATTTTGTACCACATTTTTTGTGAAACTTATGTTCTGGCTGGAGGCAGCTGATAATAAACCAATAAACCAAAAATTAAAAATCAGATAATTCAGAGAATTATCCAGAAAAATAAAATAAAGCTATGTGAAAGAAAGTGACTGGTGTCTGCTTGAGGTTTGGTGACCTAGGAGGGTCTTGTGAGCAGGAATAGCAATTTACCCCTGAATGCCAAGAAGGAGCCAGAAATAGAGCTAGTTATAGTTGAGGGGAGGGGGAAGCATTCCATGAAGAAGGACTAGATAGTGTAAAGATTCGCCTAAAAGATTCTTCTCCTAAAATGGGAAGAATCTTGGCATATTCCTGTGGCGGGGCAGAGTGTGTGAAGGAGAGGGAGGAGTGGGGCAATGTTTCAGGGTTGGAGGATAGACATCAGGTAGGACAAGGAATGTGTAAGCCAGGGTCAGTTTGGTTTATATTTTAAGTTTGATTAGAAGCCGTTGAAGCTTTTTAATCAAGGAGTGACATGATCTGATTTTTTTTTTCTGCTAAATTTCCTTAAAGATTGTGGACTGTAGGTGTGAGAGCAGAAGTAGGAGAGACAGGTTAGGAGATCATTGCAGTGAACAGGTTGGTGGATGGCATTGGCTTAGATTAGCAGTAGCAGAGGGAGGGAAGAAAAGCAGATGGAATTCAAGAAATGTTTTTGGAAGTAGAGTTAAAACGAGCTTGTTGATGAGAAGAGAGTAATAAAAAATAATGATAATAACAATCATATCTTTTAAGAACCTACTATGTGCTGGGCACAGAGTAACTCACTTAACTGCATAACCATCCTCTGAAGTAGGTACTCTTATGAACCCCGTTTTACAAAATGAAGAAACTAAAGGTAAAGTATCTAATTTTTAACAACTAAGTAAAAATAGTTAATGTTTCAATTTTGGGTGGTGGTGCTATTTGTTGATATGAGAAAAAAATGAAAGGAGAACAGGTTTAAGTGGAACAATAAAGAATTCTCTTCTGGCCATTTTAAATTTGATGTATTTATTAGTTATCCAAGTGGACGTGTCAAGTAGAAAGCTGATTATTCAGGTCTGATGATTTAGGAAGAAGTATTTTTAGGTCACAGGACTGGACGAAATCACCTAGGAAGAATATAGAGAGAGAATCAAGAGGTACTGAAAGACTCTTAGATCTGCCAAAGCTTAGAAGTAGAAGAGAGGAGAAGGAGCCAGCAAGAGCCCTGAAATAAAGACCAGCCGAATGGAGAAAGAGAGAGGAAACCTTTCATAACTGCTAGCAGGAGGGCCTGGAAGTACAACTCGTCCTCACCCCTGGTGATTAGCTGATGTTTTCTGGGCACATAGATTTCTTGTGAGAAAATACGGATGGAGAGAGAGGAATATGTTGTTGGGGCAATGCAGAGATTAGCACGAGTGGTCAGAATTAGACAGGCTACAGGTAAACAAGTCCAGGAAAGTATGGTCTGTAGTTGAAGTTTAGCAAGGAAACAGTCAATTTTAGCAAGTTCGATGAGTATATGCCATGATTTTGGGTTTAGCAAGATAACTGAGTTCAAGAGCTTTCAAAAGTATTGCAGAAAATATCTGAAGCAGTTTTTTTTTTTTCCCCCCACAAAGGGTTGTAGGGAAAGAAGGGAAAGTCCGACATCATCACCAAGGATGTAAGAGAAAAGATCTTCAAAAAGAAGGGATTGGTCAGTGTGTTGAATTTGCGGAGAAAAAATGAGATAAGAACAGAGAAGTGGTACTTGGAGTTATCAGTGTGGAAGTCACTGGTGATCTCAGAGTATCTCAGTTGAGTGGCTAGAAAGGAAGCTTGATTGTGGTATGCTGAAGAAATGGGAGTTGAAGTGGAGACAGCAACTAAAGGTAATTCCTTCAAAATGTAGCTTCATATATACATATATGCATTTGTATACTTAGTGGCCCCTTTAATGTACAAATTGTTGCTTGCTTGCTAGAGATATGATCCTAAGCCTTGCAATTCTAGTTTAATAAAATATCTTAGCCGTTTAAGTATGTATAGATTTCTATAGTTTAAAAAATGACTACCTATAATGTCTCATACAATGAGCATTGGTATTGTGTCTAGCTGTCTAAAGTTATAAACAATGCTTCAGAGAAGGTGTTTGTAGTCATATTTATTTATTTATTTTGAGACAGGGTCTCACTTTGTCACCCAGGCTGGAATACAATGGTGTGATCTCGGCTTACTGCAGCTTCAACTTCCCAGGCTCAAGAGATCCTCCCGCCTCAGCTCGCCAAGTAGCTGGGACTACAGGCATGCGCCACCACGGCTGGTTAATTTTTGTATTTTTAGTAGAGCCGGGGTTTCACCATGTTGGACAGGCTGGTCTTGAACTGCTGGACTCTAGTGATCTGCCCACCTTGGCCTCCCAAATTACCGGGATTACAAGCATGAGCCACTGTGCCTGGCCTAAAAATTCTTGAGTATGTCTGTAGGACAAATTCATAAAAGGAGAACTATTGGGCAAAAGGGTATTTTCATTTAAATACCGATAAATATGACTGGATTTCCTTGCCAAGAGTCTCTATTTCCTACGTACAAGAATATCTGTTTCTTCCTTGCTTGCCAATTCAGAGCTTGTGGTTATTTGCCAGTTGGATTAGTAAAAAATGACATTTAGTTTCAATTTTATTATTTATTATTTTTAATTACATTATTTTAAAGGTCAAAAAATTTTAAATTTCAAAAAATGCATTATTTTAATTGCATTATTTTAAATGCCACTTTAAAAAAAGCCATTTGCATTTATTTTTTTTCTGAAATCATGACCCTCACCCAGATTTCTTCTATTGGGTAGTTGATACTTTTCTTGTTGGCTTGTATATCCCATAATACACTAAGATAACTAGATATTTATCTATTATTTATGTTGCTAGTATTTTCTTTACATTTTTTCTGGTCTTTGACCTTGACTATAGTATTTTTACCATGTAGAAATTTTGTTTTTAAAATGTAGCCAGAATTATCAAACTTTTTTGGGGAGTGGGGCTTCACAGCTTTGTGTCATGCTTAATTGACACAATTAAGAAAATGGTTAAAAAAATGGTTAAGAACAGCATTTTTACTGCAATAATATTATGTCGCCAGATTTTCTCTGAATTCTTTTGTGGTTTAATTTTTGCTGTAATATTTTTGGCCCATCTGACACTATTTTGTTATGAGACGAAGAGAGAGATCTAACTTCATTTTTTTTTTCTACCATGGCTATTCAATTTGCTAACTAATCTATCTTCTTCCTACTGATTTAAAATGCTATCTTAATCAGAAAGTAAAATTCTCTCTATCTCTTTCTGTCATCTATCTATCTATCTATCTATCTATCTATCTATCTCTCTATCTATCTATGTATCTGTCTATCTACTTATCTATCCAGTTAAAACTATTTGGGGCCTCCATGGGCTCTATTGAGCTTTCTGTCTACTTATATGCTAATATGAGCCTTTTTTAAATTATAGAAGCATAATTATTATCTTCCATAAATTTTAGACTTAGTCCCCATACTTCCCAATTTCCTTTTCTTCAGAATTTCCTGGCTATTCTTTAAATTTCAATTTTCATTATACACTTGAGAATCAGCTGCTCTAGCCAATTACGAGAAAAGTCCTGTTGGCAACTTGAATAGGTTCCTATCAAACCTGCTCCTCTCTCTGTCTTCTACATCCTAGAAATGAAAACTCCATCCTCTGGCTTCTCAGGCTAAGAAGTTTGGAATCATCCTATTTTTTCTCATTCTTATACTTCAAGTGTTAATTGGCAAATCTACTTCAGTCTACCTTGTGTATCTATCCAGAAGCCAATCATTTTTCACTGCCTCCACTGCTAGCATCTTTTCACAAATCATCCTTATCTCTCATCTCCATTATGGCAAAAGCCTGCTTTAACAGTCTTCCTGCTTTTATGGCTGCCCTGTGAACATTCATGCACAATCGTGCCAGAGTTTAAAAACAAAATCAGATCATGCCATTCCATTGCTAAAGTACCTGTCTAATGCCTTCCCATCTTACTCAAAGTAAAAGCCACCATCCTCATGATGTTCTGAAAGGCTCTATATGGCCTGGCTTTTGTGATCTCTCTGACTTGATCTAGGATTCTCACCTTCTTTTAGTCTACTGTTGGCACCCTGCCCTCCTTAAATGTGCCAGGTACCCTCCTGACTCAGAGCCTCTGCTCCGTTCTTTCCTCTGCCTGCAAAGCTGTTTCCCAAGATAGCTGTATGTCCTTTTTCCTAATCTCTTTCTGGTCTTTGCTCAGAAATTATCACCTCAATAAGAATTTTTTCTGACTACTCTGTGTAAAACTGCAACTCCTTTCTTTCCTACTTTATTTTTTTCTTACACCATTAATTCTCATTTAGCATATGACATGCACTGATAGTTTATTCTTCCTCTGCTCCCCACACTAGAATGTGAGCTCCATGAGGGGAAAGGTTTTTGTCTGTTTTGTTCACTGCTATGTCGCCAATGATCGGTACACAGTAAATATTCAGCAAACATTTGTTGACTGAGTCAAGAGACACAAAATGTAAGGGAAAACTTCACACTCTAAGAAGTACAGAAAATAAAGCAATCTGAAAGAGACATTAAGGAATGTCAAATGTTTTAAAAGATGATGAAGAGATTAGATTTCATAAGGTAAAAATGTTAGAGTTTACACATAACAAAATAACTTTTATATTTACAATAGCACCAATACAATTTCTAAATATGAAGATATAATCTTTGAAATTATAATACCTAATGCATATAGTTCTTATATATGCATAAATATAATAATCTTTGAAATAATAATACCTAATGCATATAGTTCTTATTAATTCCTGGCAACTTCTGAAGCATTTTAAAAGCATTTTGTAAAAAAAAAAACTAATTTAATTTGAGGAAGATGGGAAAACGAAGACATAGGGGTGAAGTGAAGGATAGCCCCAAACTATTCATCCATTAAGTGATGAAGACAGGATTCAGACTCATGCAGTCTCCTGACCTGTATGCTGTTCTCTCTAGCTACTTTTATTTCTCCACTGTGCTATGCTCCTCCTTGAGACTTATTTTTTTTTGTCTACAACATAGAGGTATGAGGTTAGGCTACACAATGTGCTACATTTTGTAAAGCAAAACAGTGCATGGTCTGTCAGTGGCTGCACTGCCAAATCCCATGGAATGTCATCTGTGTAGTTTGAAAACTAAAACACCAAAAGAATAGATTAGTATTTGACCTGGAGAATCCCAAAGACTATTTGGCGAAAACCCATAAAGCATCATTAACTGCAGAAAAAGTGCATTCCCCTTAAGACAGGCAATATAAAACAGCACCCAAGAGTGCAGTTAATTGGAGAGCTTAGGTGAAATCTGACGTTCTCAGCTGAGCCAGAGAGCTTCTGGGATGCGATGGGTTGAGTCCGCCCCCATGTGGTCTTAAGGTGCAACTACAGAAGTAAGCCAACTCCCAGAGTTGCTAGGAGAGCTTGGCTGTTTTCATGTTTCTTTCCAACCACTATGTCTCCAGATCTAAGGCCATCGATGAGAGTGATCACGCCAGTAAACTTCTAGAGAATATTCATTGTCTAAACTGACTGTATGATAAGGTGTGAATTCCTGAGAAAGCACAGCATTCCTAGCTGTTCATAATCTGGGCCAGCTTAACTTCCCATCCTTGGCTCCATCTAAGGGCATCTTTATTTCCTCCATGAGGGAGGCACACTCATTGCTCTGTGCTTCTGCATGTATAATCTTGTGGGCTGGAATGCCCTATGCATCCCTTTCTACTGGAAGAAGTATCCATAATATTTGAAAACTTAGCTTAAAAATTATCTGTAACCCTTGTGTCTCTGCCACTAAGAGCCTGAGTCATTTTGGGAAGAATGCAATGGTTCTTTCGGTTTTGCATCTCCCAGACCCCTAAGATTAGGTGGATTTGCATTTGCACCAGGGGTTGCACAGGATTCTCTGTCAGGATGAAAATGGAGAATCTTCATTTTTCTAGTGAAAGTTGGTGCCCACTAGAAAGTTGGTGCCCTTTGCTTTAACATAGTCTTAATTGCATTTTATTTCAAGAGGTTTAAATAATCAAAACCACCTAATCTGGCACCCTTATTTCCCACCTTGACTATTCTTAAGTGGTCTCCTTGCATCCATTCTTTTCTCCCTCAATTATTCTCTAAACAGTTATGAGAATGGTATGTCCAAAAACTCACAGTAAGAGACTGTTTTATATGAAATCCCCTGATGGCTGTCCATCACTTGCCAGAGTGGCCTTCAGATGTTTTGAGTATGCACATCTATTAGTAAAATACTTTGCAGCATGCACCAACAACATAAACTTATTTAGGCATTTATAAATCATATAACTGTACTACTATGGTCATAAATTATTTATGTTATAAAACATACAAAAATAAAAATTAAAAATTAAGATAGAAAAATATTAATACTCATATTGTTATTAGATTGGTGCAAAAGGTTTTGCCATAATGGCAAAAACCACAATTACTTTTGCACCAACCTAATATTAACAGTATACACTACCTTATTGCACTAATAATCATATTTTTGATGACAGCAATGCAATTGGATGCATTTGATTATTTTTGAAAACCTCAGTTAAACCCTGTGTTGTTCTACCTTCAGTTTATTTGGGTATTTCATTTAAAGGACTGCTGTAGCAATATTATCATTATCAAAATTTTTTTTCAGCATCCTGATGGAGAATGTAGTGCAACCCTTGGTGCAAATGCAAACCCATTTTGGAAAATACTGACTTAAAGAAGAAAATCCAAGCTGGGTGAAGTGACTCACACCTGTAGTCCCAGCTACTCAGGAGGCTGAGGAAGGAGGATGGCTTGAGCCTAGCAGTTAGAGGCTGTAGTGTGCCATGATTGTGCCTGTGAATGGTCACTGCACTGCAGCTTGGGCAACATAGTGAGACCACATCTCTGAAAAAAAAAATGAAAGAAAAAGAACAGAATTCAAACTCTCCTGATGGCATTCAGAAGTCTTTACAGGCTGATCCAACTCCTCCTTCTACCCTGTCTCTGTTGTTGCCTATATTACTGACATACTTGATCTCAGACCTATTGCACAACTTATGGGTCCATAGAGCACCACATAATTTCCTATTTCTATGTTTTTGCGTGTGCATGGAATGTCCTTGATCCTCTTTGTCTGCTATGGATTTCTAGTCATTTTTCAAAAGTATGGATATAAAAGCTATTTGTCTTTGAGTTTTTCCAAATCCCACCCCTGACTCCTAGAATTGACTGCTTCCTCATGTGGTATTTGGATAAAATCCTTATGTTCCCTTTGACTAAATATACTTATTTTTTAGTGTATTGTATATTTTTGACTTATTTGTATCAATTTACTGTTAGATTTGAGGGAAGAAACTGTATATCCTTGACAACTTTCCAAGTTCATGGAGTTCAAAAAATGTTTGTGGAGTAAATAAGTGAACACCAATATCTTCCATAAAGTCTGCAGGCTAATTCCATAAAGTCTCAAACAATTCCATCATGAGTAAACCCCGGTAACCCCCAATCACTAGAGGGAGCAGGTCCTAATTTCTCTAGTGGGATATCTTGATCTGTGACTGGAAGCTTTTTTTTTTTTTTTTTAGAACAAGTGCAAGATTTTATTGAGTGGAAGTAGCTCTCAGCAGATATTTATTTTTCCCTTCCTTTACAGAAGTCTTCTTGCCAGGGATTTTTTTTTTTAATGGCTCCAGTCACCTGGAGTATTCTGCTCCACCCTCTCAGTACCACCCCAGGACTTCTGCTATTGTTTGCCTTACTACTTTCAAGGAAGAAGGAGGGGAATATTCTGTTGGCATTTTTGGATGCTCTTTTCTTTTTCCTCCTGTTGTTGTTCTGTATCATCTGACCTGGTGAAAACTTTTGGGAATGGGGAAGAAGCATAGTCCAATTCAAAGACCTGAACAGGTCAAGACTCTCTAACAACTAATGAATTGCACTTTGAGCTGAATGGTCCATTGTCAACTCGGTATTATTAGCACTCCAGCTAAAGACTCTAAGAAGCCATGGACTCCATTTCCGAGAATCTCCTTCCCATACAGTTTGGGTTAGAGCTTACCAATGAGTAGGAGAAACAGGATATTTGGTAGGTATGACGGAAGGAGACACTGCTCTTCTCCAGTCAGTTGCAGCCCTAAGTAGGTACAGGTACAGAATTCAGAGAGGTTCTTTTGTGAGCTGTCAAGACCATTTGCTTTGCTGCAACAGGACAGCACAATCAAGAGCTTCCCAGAGCTCTTCATATTTCATTGACTTGATGGCAAGCTCTTTAGAGCCCATTTCAGATCCTCAGGCTGAATCTTCAGTGTTGGCCTCCCTGACATTTGCTTCCCAGCTTTCCAAGTGGATGGGTAAGTTCTTTACACCTGGAATACTTGGAGATTTTTCTGCATTGCTAACCAAACTCTGCCATCTCTTGCAGTAATGAGGTAGTGAACAAAGGAGATAGTTAGGCTGTTTACAATGAAGCGGGTAATTTAAATCACCCCCGACCATAGTGGCTTGACCAAAAGCCATTTCTTTGCTCCCAATTCTATGGGCCAGGACTTTGGGCAGAGCTCAGCTGGACTGTTCATCTCAGTCCTGTGTGCACTGCCTGCTGTGGCTCAACTAAGATGGGGAGGTCCAAGACGGTCTCATTTGACATCTGAGGCATTGATGCTGGCTGTCTGCTGGGCACCTCAATTCTCCTCCACATGTCCCTTCTGTCCGCATGGTCTCTGACTGTTCAGTGGTCTAGCTGGAATTCTTTTCCATGTTGGCTGGCTTCCAAGAGGGTGAAAGCAGAAGCTGCCAGGCTTCTTAAGGCCTGAGCCTGGACCAGCATAGCACCACTTCTGCCAGATTCTATTCCTCAAAGCAAATACCCAGCCCAAATGGAAGGGAGGGGAGCTAGATTCCCCTCTTGAAGGAAAGAATGGCAACGTACCTTTGTAAGGAGCATGGGAGGAATTGTGGCCACTTTTGAAAACAATTTCCACACTAGCTAAGGAAACTGACATAGAAATGGTTAAGTTACTTGCCCAAGGTCACTCAGCAGCTAAGTAGCTGGGCCAAGGTTTGACCTTGATCAGTTCAATACCAGTGTTCATGTTCTTTACCTCTACATTCTGTTGCTTTACAACTTCCTTTTTATTTATCTCTGATCCTTCTCCAGACTACATGGTTTTATGTCCAATTCCCACATGGCTTTCAAGGCCCAGAAAAATGTCACTTTCCCTGTTTTTCTAAGCTTGAAATAGTCCTACAGCTTAAACTTTCATAGCATTTCTCTTAAGGTTCTTCACATTTAAAAAAAATAATAAAGCAAAAAATCAGATAACTGAAGCAGAACCTTGAGTGTTTTAATATTTTAATCAATATATGTGGTCCTTATCTTCCCTGTAAGCCTGTTAAGAACCCTGTAACTAGGCTTGGGTCCTATTTATCTATCTCTTGGATCATATAGTGTAAGACCAGTACATAGTAGTAATTAACAAATACTAAATGACTGGTCATGGAATGAGCCTACCTTATTTCTGAAAACCCCTTCTGACCTCTCAGTGCACCAAGAAATGTATGGTGACTGAAAGTAAGCTCTGAGGGTCTTAATCCCATCCTTATTAGTCACCAAGGACCCTCCTGTCTTCTCTCCCGACCTTGCTCTTTCCACATGCCATGTCCAGCTAGCTTCTGGCCCTTGGTGTAATACCATATCTTTGGCTCAGCTTTTAACTATCAGTTTTGACATTCTTGTTTTTGACCCTATTGCCCTCTGAGCAGCGCTTTTAATCAAATCTCCTACCCCACTTCCCATCTCTGTCATCGAAACTATGGCTTTGACCACTCTACTATCTTCTTCATAATATCAGGGGTAGGGTCTGTTTTGTTCATTGTTGACTACCCAATACAAAGTTCACTAAATACTGTAAGGCTAGCACCAAACCTATGCACTTAACCAGGCCCACCCTGGTCCCAAATGAGACTGTGTTTCAGATAGAGTGAATGACAGAAGCATCTAATGAAGTGCTGGGGGCTGCCTTTGTGCTAGGGAGGAGCATGAGGGCAGGCTTCATCAGAAGGGCTTCCCATGAGCCAGTAAGCTGAGTAATCCTGAGGGACGCATGCCTAACATAGCCACAATGAACCTTGTGTCACAGGGGTCAACCAGTTGCCAATTCTCTATGCGTATGCTTTTTTTTTTTTTTTCTAAACTTCCCTGGAGCATATTTGCTTATTTAACTTTCCTTAATAACCAGCAGATGGCTTCTGTCTGGGCAATCATCAGCTGGTGCTTAGCAATGGCAGATTCAAGAGGAGGCATGGGACTTGTTAGGGGTGGGGAATCCAGAAGACAACATACAGAATGCCAGGTGAAGTTATCAGGCATTGTCTAATTGGTGTTGGAGGCAGTGAGGGCAGCCGAAAGCGGTATTAGGAAGAACCCTTCCCAGAAGGGGGAGACTGCTGCTCAGCAAGCCAGGCAGAACCAGAGAAGACAAGGACAACTCCAGAATAAAGACTAGTTATTTTCTGAGTCCTCAGCAGCTGGCACAGTATATCAGAAATACAAGTACTCCATCAATGTATAGCAAATATAAACTGGGAGTCATCATTTATTCATGTGTTCATCCAACAAATATGTGTTGAGTCCTACTGTGCACCAGGACACACCCAATGCATAGAAGCACTGGAGATATAGCAGCCAGCAAGGCATGGTCCCTCCTCTACCTATCTTTTGTTTGCATGAAAATGATTAAGTGCATTCATGCAGTAGAATAAGCAAAATGAATGGTTCGCTTTGCTTTAGGGAAACAGGATCAGGTACACAGTAAGTAAGGCATGGAAAGGATATTCAGCAACTGGAAAAGAGTGAAATGCAAACATATGTAGTCAGAGAAATAAGTAAGACCATAGAGTTAGAGAAAACCTAGGAAGGTCAAGGAAAAGCTCTCCTCTGGCCTGCTTAGTAGCTCTTCCAAGTGTGGGGATACACATGATGCAAAAGGTCATAGGCGAGGAAGGTCAAACCACTTATGACAACGGGTGGCTGCCCTTTGTGTCAGAGCCCAGGGAAGTTCTCTACTTGAATGCTCACTAAGTCCTCAGCACCTGTCTAAATAAGGCTTGTGATTGGGCTTAGTCTAATTATTAGTGTGGGAAGCATTTAATCATGCATTCAACAAATATTTATTGGGCACCCCCTCTGTGCTAGATACTGTTCTAGGTCCTAGAACTATGGTGATAATGTATATAAACACCATGACAACAGCCTGCTTTATTCTAGAGAAAAAGAGTAAATGAAAAAATGATTATATGATAATATATCGGGCAGTGATAATTGGTATGAAGGCAGTAGCATAAGTTGATAGAGAGAGACACCAGTGTGTATATGTGTGTGTGTGTGTGTGTATGTGTGCGTGCTTATAGAGGGTGATTACACTTTTCCTGCATGCTTTTAAGTTAGACATGGCCAAGAAGATGTGAGCAGTAACATATGTCATAAAGAGCCTCTGTGGGGAAGTGGCATTTGAATGGAGATCTAAATGAATGGAGGCAGTAGGCCACGTGAGGGTATTAGAGAAAGTGATCCAGAGAGGGGAAGCATTGCAAAGTGTTTTCGGTGTGGCAAAAATTTGGTAATTCTGAAAAATAGCAAGGAGACTAGTGTGGAGTACAGTCCAAAGGGAAGAGCAGTGGAAGATGAGCCTGTGGTAGTAGTAAGGGTCATATCATGGAGAGATTTTAGGCCATAGTAAGGAGTGTGATTTTATTTTAGGAGTGACAGAAAGACACTGGAGAACTTGGGACCAGAAATATTGTTGCAGTTGATAGCTCTGTGCACAAATGTTCTCTCTTCCTATGGTCACATGGTAGGATTACACCTTCCAGCCCACTTTTAAGTTAGACATGGCCAATAAAATGTGAGAAGTAACATATGTCATGCTTCAGTAAAATCTTTGAGTCAGTGTCTTATTTATCACTTTCTACTTCCCCCATCCTGATATTCACGGAAGTGTGTCACATCCACTCCTCCATCAGCCTGGGTCTCTGGGTGACTGCAATTACGCAGCTCATCTATGCAGTATACGTAGAATGAATGAGAAAAAGGAAGACTATGTTAAGTGCTGAAATTTTGTGATTGCTTTGCTGCACAACTAAGTCTATTGTGACAAATACACATTTAACTTGTTTTACATGTTTAAAAATCACTTTGGTTCAGTTAATACTGTGAGTAATGTACCTATCTGTCTACATCTCCTCCAAACTCCACTAATATGAGAGCAAAGATATAACATTGAACATGAGTGGAAGTGGAGAAAACAGCAGATGACAAGACATACAAATGAATGAAGAGTGAACAAAGGAACCTATTTTATTTCAAATGAATTAAATAACCATTTTGAAGGGGAGAAATCATCTAAGGAATACAAGAACATAATACTTAATAATATATCCTCAGTCTTGGTGGGTCGGGGGGGGATGCAAACCAAGCCTAAACTCTTATTAGTAGTTTCATTTGTTGCAGAGATATGGGCAAAACAATTTTTGAAATATTTTAAATATATTATAGGATCAAACCCATGAGTAAATGTGTTAATGTTTTGGGGAACCAAGATTCTCATTATGAAGGAGGAGACAAAAAACTATGGAATGCAGGAAGGCATGAAGAAATCAAGTGAAGCTGGGTTACATTTAGAGGTATGTTTGGCCTCATGATTTCTTATATATTTAAAATGTAGCCAGGCATGGTGGCACATGCCTATAATTTCAGCACTTTGGGAGGATGAGGTGGGCGGATCACTTGAGTCCAGGAGTTTAATACCAGCCTGGGCAACATGGCACAACCCCTTCTCTACAAAAAAATACAAAAATTAGTTGGGTGTGGTGACATGCACCTGTAGTCCCAGCTACTTGGGAGGCTGAGGTGGGAGGATTGCTTGAGCCTGGGAGGCGGATGTTGCAGTGAGCCAAGATTATGCCACTGCATTTCAGCCTGGTGATAGAGTGAGACCATCTCCAAAATTAAAATAAATAAATAAATAAATAAATAAATAATTAAAAAAATAAAAAATATGTGCATATGCACGTGTGTATGTATGCATATATATGTATACGAATAAGGATATATATATATCCATATATATATCCATATATATATATCCATATATATATATCCATATATATATATCCATATATATCCATATATATATGGATAAGGACGGGTTCTTGCTTACGAGAGAATGCTGAGTGCCAACTTGTAGATAGGAAGGAGGGATGGCCCTAGAAATTAATCATTTAATAATATCATCATAATGAAGACTGGTTCAGGCAAGAATCATCAATGGATGCTTAATCTAAGGGGACATTTTGACGAGGAGCAGGATATTTTCATGATCTTAAAGTGCCTGCCCACTGATTGCTTTTTACTTGCAAAGAAAAAATAGCAACCATACAGTGAAGATACTGGGCAACACTAAGACCAGGTAATTAAAATAAACATCACCAATGAGGGACACATCCTATGCCTCTGATTTTGGTACCCAGACAACAATACAACATCATGTATGTAGTATTCTGGGCTAGAACGCATAAACTTAATGTATGCACGAGGAAACATTAGATAAAATGAGGAAGGTTCTATTTAAAAAGTGAAGAAGGGGGTTGGCTGTATTCTTCAAAATGTCATTGCTTTAAAAGAAAAGGAAAGGCTGGGGAAATGTTCTAATATACAGGAAACTAACGAGACGACACATGGAAAAATGCTATAAAGGACATCAAGTGTGTGTGTATGTGTGTGTGTGTGCATGTGTGTTTATTTTTTCTGAACCATTTGAGGGTAAAGTTGCACACATCATGACCTCATGCAACTTTATTCTCACTTGGCTTGTAAAGCTATTACGCATTTATATATACAGAGATGTATACATATGCATATGTTACATGCGTATGCCTACCTAGGTACACACATATATAGGGAGAAAGTGAATGGGAAAGAGAAAGAGAGGAGGCACTCAAATTATAGAACAAACGGCAAATAGATCAAAATGTTAATAGTAAGTGAAAATGGGTAAAGAGTATCTGGGTGTTCGATATACTATCTTTATTCTTACAACTGTTCTACAACTTTGAAATTATTTTCAAATAAAAAGTAAAGAGAAAAGAAATTTCTGCAGAGCCATTGTGTTGGTCAGTGCTAGAGATGGTCATAAGGAAGTGTGTGTTGGATGTTCCATCAGAATGTGAAATTATAGTGTGCTCCTGAGTGCAATAAACTCAGACGTATTTTTCATCTGATGATACCTTTGAACTTATGAATATGAGTACAGTATTTTAGAAGGAGAAGAGGACTCTCTTCTCTTTTTTCAATGTTTCAACTTCTGGCTATGTTTTTGTCTTTCTATCCAAACTAATTTTAATAGACGAAGTAATTTGCAAGAAACAACAGGCATTTTCTTGCATTGGTGTGATACAGTGCACAAGTTTTCTAAATGCTAATTAATTCCAACTTACTTTACCTGCTGTTTCAAAGGCTGGCAACTGATATTCATGATCTAAATGACAGCTGTTTCTAACCTCATATTCTTGAAAAGAAATAAGAAAAAAATAATTTTAAAAGGAATGCATCAGTTTAAAACATGCTGGAAATTATCTGTTTTTCATTGAGTGGTGGAATTTCTATGTCCCTCCCCTTGAATCTGCTAACTGGTGGAACAATAGGAAAGCTGAAGTAGCATTTGGTGACTTCTGATGCTGAGTCAGAACACACATGTAGCTTCTGCTTATCTTAGCCATAAGCCACCATGTAAGAGGCCCTATTACCTTCAGGCCACTAAAGTGACCCATGTGGAGGGATCACATGGAAAAGCCCTTAGACTGCATGGAGGGCGATGCTGGCCTATCCCCATCATGCCTGTTCCAGTACAGTTTGACTAAAACTGCATGACAGAGCCCCCCACTTGGGTGCTTCCAGAATTCTTGGCCCACAGAAACTGTGAGAGGAAAGAAAATAATTGTTTTTGTTTTTAAACCATTAAGTTTTAGGATGATTTGTTCAACGCAATGATAGGTAACCAGCTCACAGAGGGAAAGGGGATGGAGGTATTGAAAGACAGGAGACAGCTGAACAGTAGGATCTGCAGAAGGGAAATGGCAGCAAAAAGAAATTCCATTAACATAGCAGAATCTTGGAAAGATCTAGAAGTTGGAGGACCAGCTACCAAGGAAGGTGGGGGTGGGGCATGAGGCTATTTCTATATTGTAAACAAGTCATCCTATTTCCTTTGAGCCAGGCAGTTACCTCTTCTTTATTCCAGCAAAGAATAGGACATATGCTCTGTGGATAAACTGAAGCACAAGAGCTCTGAACTTGACAACACCAGGCATCGCAGACCCTGAGGGAGAGCTGCTACACTAAAACCAGGAGGATTCAGTAAAGGCCTGTAGTGAAATCCTCACTTCCCTTCTACCCATTCACTCATATCCTCCAATCCATTTTCAAGTGCATCCTTCTTAGCCATGATAAACAAGGAAAGTTCCATTATGAGAAATATTCACAGACACACAGACACACACACACACACACACACCACACACACACACCACACACACATGAACATTCATTTCCAGACTGAAAAGGCAAAAGGCTTACCAAGTATTGAACTCAATGAATAAAAAAGGCCCACACAATGACACACGGTCTTAAAATTTCAGAGCATTGGGGTAAACAGATTACTCTAAGAGACACCATAGGATGGGAATGAGATGCTCCTCAAAGAATAAAATAGAATAATGGCATTAGCCTTCTGGAAGCAATACTAGGAAATTATGGAGCAATACCATGAATACTGTCTTGGCACACTCCTTAGCAGGATTTAAATTGATGGTAAGGAACACAGATCTCTGTGCTCTTGACAAGACAATATGGTCTCTGAATATTTCTCTCTTTACTGCTAAAAACTGCCTAAAATAACAGTTCTATGAAGGAAGCTAAAATTAGAACTGATTACCCAATTTCTCCTAACAGACCACATCAGGACACATTCATTCTGCTTTACTACTCTGAACACTGTCCCCAGAAGCCCTGCATTCTTAGATCTTCCCACATTATCCAGACCTGTATCCCTATACATTCTGTACATCCAGATTTGCCAAACATTTCACGTTACCCAATGCCCCAATCCTTCCACTGTGCCCTTTGGAATTCACAGTTTATTATCAACAAAATTTTCCATATCCTTAACCTCTTGTCCAAAGGAGGGCTTCAATTTCTTGCTCTAACTGAAACTAGGTTCTCCTCTGGGAATACCGCCTCCCCCATAGTCATTTGGTTACAGTTCTGTTAACTGTTTTTGTCCTCCCAGGTCCTGGTATCACTGGAACTGGAAGTGGGCAGGGGTCCTTCTCATTGCCTTTCCTTCCTAGAACATCCCAGTTCTCCGGAAGCCCCAGTCCCCTCCACTCCAGAGTGCTGCAGTTAGTCACCATCGAGCTAGCTGTCTGCTGCTCTTGTTCATTGACTTGGCATGTAACTTACTCTCTTTTTTTCCACATGTCCTCTTTTCATCATTCTTAACCACCACATTACAGATACGATTCATTCTCCATCCAACACCTTAATCACTTAGGTCCTTAACCTCCTTACCGTCAAGAATCTGATCTTCTATTCATGTTAGCCACACTTTCCATGCTTATACTCTAGACCATGCAATTGTCTCTATGTGAACAACCTCCAAAAATCTGTTTTTAGTATCCCATTCTCCTTTCTAGTTTCTCTATTTTCTTCTAAACTTCATTCCTTGATTGCCTCAATACTTTATGCTCCTGCAATTCATTCACTTACCTTATCTGCCCACTTTTTAACTAGCTTAGATTCTATGACCTGTAATTTTATATATTTTTTGCTTTCCTCCTGTTCATCTGGCCCTGCTCCTAAAGCCATTGCTTTTATGTATGCTCAGATCCCGCTCACCTTCTCAAAGATTTCCCTCCTGCAATTAGGCCCCTTGTCCTTTGCATGATTAATTTCTCCCTGTATGTTGGATGATTTCCTTAAGTGCACAAGCATGCCTTAATATTATGAAACATGAAAAAGAACATCTCTTAACTCCATGTCTCTAACTGCTATTTTCTTCCTATGCTCTTTGTATAGTAAAATTCTTCAAAGAAATCCCTTATGTATTATAGTCCCACCTTCTCCACCAGAATGTAAGCCCTCATTATGGAAAACAGTGTGTAGATTCCTTACATAACTAAAAGTAGATCTGCTATTTGATCCAGCAATCCCAATACTGGGTAACCACCCAGAAAAAAAGAAGTCATTATGTGAGAAAGACACTTGCACACACATGCTTATAGCAGCACAATTCACGATTGCAAAAATATGAAGCCAGCCCAAATGCCCATCAATCAATAAGTGGATAAAGAAAATGTGAGAGATATATATATATGTATGTGTATATATGTATGTATGTATGTGTATATATGTGCTATATATGTATATATGTGATATATATGTGTGTGATATATGTATATACATATATGCACATATACATATATATACATATGTATATGTATACACACCATGGACTACTACTCAACCATAAAAAGGAATAAAATAATGGCATTCACAGCAACCTGGATGGAGTTGGAGACCATTATTCTAAGTGAAGTAATTCAGGAATGGAAAACCAGACATTATGTGTTCTCACTTATAAGTGGGAGCTAAGCTATGAGGACACAAAGGCATAAGAATGACACAATGGACTTTGGGGACTCCGGGGGAAGAGTGGGAGTGGGGCGAGGGATAAAAGACTACACACTGGGTACAGTGTACACTGCTCGGGTGATGGGTGTATCAAAATGTCAGAAATCACCACTGAAGAACTTATCCATGTAGCCAAATGCCACCTGCTCCCCCAAAACCTATTGAAATAATAATAAAAAGAATGCAAGCTCCTGGAAGTAAGGAATGCCTTAATTTGGGCTTTTCCCAAAGCAAACCCCAAGATAAGCACTTGAGTGCAGAGTTTATTTGAAAATTGTAGGGAAAAATGGCAGGAAAGTGCAAAGGTGATATAGGGAAGGGAAAACAGCCAATAAGGATGCATTATTAGGTTAACTATCATAGTGAATGACTAGAGCTAATTCTCATGGAGAAACTCTGGGAAATGGAATAAGACCAATGCTATAGAATTACCCCATCCGAGTGAAGAGAGAGCTGGAGAAATTATACAAATTAACTTTTCTCAGCCATTGGTTGGGAGATGCTGCAGGAAAGTGTTAATTCCACGGCACTTTCAGATGTAGATACACAGGGGAAAGTACACTGAATGGTCCAAGGCACTGATAGTGCCTGTGTACAGGAGGCTTATCAGTCTTTGACCACTGCATACCCAGAGACTAGAGCAAGACTGGAAATTAATAGGGGCTTAATACATATTTTTGGAATGAATACTCAGCCAAACTATCAATCAAGAATAAAGGATTTAGGCGGAGGCGGGTGGATCACTTGAGGTCAGGAGTTAGAAACTAGCCTGGCCAACTTGGTGAAACCCCGACTCTAGTAAAAATACAAAAATTAGCTGGGCATGGTGGCAGAGGCCTGTAATCCCAGCTACTCAGGAGGCTGAAGCAGGAGAATTACTTGAACCTGGGAGGCGGAGGTTGAAGTGAGCCGATATTGTGCCACTGCACTCCAGCCTGGGTGGAGCAAGACTCCATCATCTTAAAAAGAAAATAAAATAAAGGATTTGACCAAAGTGCCAAGACAATTCAATGAGGGAAGAACAGGTTTTTCAACAAATGGTGGAACTGGATATCCATAAGAAAAAGGATGACTTTTGACCTCCACTTCATACTATACACAAAAATTAACTAAGTGAATCATATCCCTAAATATAGGTGCTAAAATGATAAAACTCTTTGAAGAAAACATGGAAGTAAGTCTGCATAATTTTGGGTTAGGCAATGATTTCTTAGAGACAATATCTAAAGCTCAAGCAATAAAATAAAACATGATAAATTGGGCTTCATCCAAATTAAAAACTTTTGTGTTTCAGTGATACCAATAAGAAAGTGCCAAGACAACATACAGAATAAAAGAAAATATTTGCAAATCATACCTGATCAGGAATTCATATCCACAAAGAAGTCACATAACTCAATAATTAAAAGGCAAATAACACAATTAAAAATGAGGAAAGGATTTAAATAAATATTTTTCCAAAGATGTATGAGTGCCCAAGAAGCATTAAAGATGTTCAACATCATTAGTCATTAGGAAAATGCAAATCAAAACTACAGTGAGATATTACTTCACACCCACTAGAGTGGCTATAATAAAAAAGACATACAACTAAGGTATTGGTGAGAATGTGTACAGAATGAAATCTTCATACATTGCTGGTAGGAATGAAAAATGGTGAAGCCATTTTGGAAAACATTCTGGCAGTTCCTCAAAATCTTAAACATAGAGTTACCATATAACCCAGAAATTCCACAGCTATATATAATGAAAAATGAAAACACATGTCCACATAAAAATTTATACATGGACGCTCATAGAGGCATTATTCAGAGTAACCAAAGAGTAGAAACAACCCAATTATCCATCCACTAATGTGGATATTAAAAATGTGTCATATCCATACAATATTATAATTATATAATAAAAATCTGTCACATCCAAACAATAGAATAAAAAGAAATGAAGTACTGATAAATGCTGCAAAATAAATAAACCTCAAAATATTATGCTTACCAAAGGAAGCCAGGCACAAAAGGCCACATATAGTATGATTGCTTTTATATGAAACTTCCAGAATAGGGAAATCTGTAGAGACTAGGATGAGGTAGATAATAAGGAGTGATGCTAGTGATAAGGGATTTTTTTTTTTGCAGTGATAAAATGTTCTAAAAATAGATTATGGTGATGGCTGTACAACTTTGGAAATATACCAAAAACATTTAATTGTATATTTTAAATGGGTAAATTTTATGGTATGTAGATATCTCAATAAAGCTGTGGCTATATTAAAAAATGAAGGCAGAATGGAAACATTTTAGAAATTCATGTTTCCCAAAAATTTATCATACAGAAATTGCTGCCTAGGAAGTTACTGAAGGATATGTTGCATTGAGTCAATGGGACAAACCTAAAAGTATGTAAACCTATAACCTAAGTAACTCATAATTCTGGGTCCCTAATGTAAGACAGCAGCAAAGGGAAGCCCAGGATGGCAGCCATGTAGCCAGCCTGAGAAGAAACATTGCTAAAAAGGAACCAGAGGAGAAGAGCTCCAATAGGGATGACTCCAGGGGGAAAAAAATTCTTTTGGTTTATACATTTTGTCTTGGGAAAAATACCACTTAGAGTAGACTCTTGGAGAGCTAGCAAAGAATTAGAGCTGGTAAGATTGAAAATCAAACAAACAGAGAAATAGTCAATTAACAATTCAAGAAAGACAAAAAATCTGTAAAAATGGAAATGTAATCAGAGTAAACTACTAGGCTCAGCAGTGAACAACATTGACATAGTCATAATGTTATAATTGAATAGGGATACAACTGGTGTTGCTGAATTGACCAGTGACAATGCAACACACCAACTAAATGGCAGAGGTGGGATTAAAATCTGGGTATCCTTGAGATTAACATCCACCAGAACACTACGTTGACACTGTAATTCACAAGTTTAAAAGTGCATGACATCTGGCTCTACTATAGAGTAAACAAACCAATTATCCCATCAATCTTTGAGAAAAGTCCATTCCAGCTTTGCAACCATCCAGTTTCTGAATGCTTTTGTTTTTCTCAACAAGCTGACTCCATTGAGTGAATATGGATGAGACACCATCTTTTTGAATATTTTAATGCTTATGTATTATAAAAGTATTATGTATTATAAAAATTGTTCTCATTTTCACCAGAACATTTTGTTTTTAAATAGCTCTATTGAGATATAATTCAAATACCTATGTATGTATCATCTCACATTGAGATATGCAATTCACCCAATTAAAGGGCATAGTTCAGTGGCGTTTGGAATTACATTCTTAATTTTTTAAGTTATGGGAAAATATATACATGAAAAATTTGCCATTTTAATCATTTTTAAGTGTACAATTCAGAGACATTAATTATATTCACAAGGTTGTACAACCATCAGCACTATGTAATCCCAAAACTTTTTCATCACCCCAACAGAAACTCTGTACTCGTTAAGCCATAACTCCTTCATCTCTCCTCTCGCATCTTTGGGTAACCTCTAATCAACTTTCTGTGGTTGAAAATTTGCCTATTTTAGATATTCCATAAAAGAAGAATCATACATTTGTCATTTTGTGGCTTACTACCCTTAGCATAATGTTGATGACATTCATCCATGTTACAGCTTATATCAGAACCTCATTCCTGGGCTGGATGATATTCCATTGTATGTATATACTACATTGTGTTGGTCCATTTATCTATTGATGGACATTTGAGTAGTTTTGACCCTTGGGCTATTGTAATTAATGCTTCTATGAACATAGATGTACAGGTATCTGTTCAACCCGTTTTCAACTGAGACACCATCTTGAAATAAAAAATACATGAAATTGGGAGTCAGGCGGCCTCAAGTGTAGCCCTGGATATGTCTATGAATAGCTATCAGGTCCTGGAAAAACAACTCTCTAAGCTGTTTTCTCATCTGCAAACAAGACAGCTTTAACATTTTTTATTAGAACACTTCTAGACACTGGGGTTTAACAAAACAGTTCACATGAAAAATAAAATTATCTGTTATACTCTGTGAGTAAAAACATATTTTATAAATTAAAATTTATAATAGGAATTTATAAAGCAAGACAATGACCATAGTTTATCATGTTTCAATACCTAAAAAAAATGAAATCAGAGACTACTGATGACAGTCTGTGTCTATTTAGCCCATTGATGTGTCTCTTTTTGAAAACACAAGACCAGCCTCTTAATTTTTTTGACTTACTGACAGGCGTAGTGTCTGATCAATCATGGCCAAAACTTATTTAAACTGGTTCAAGTAAAATTTATGAGAAGATATTGGGTAGGTCAAAGAACCTCCAATTTGGATAGAGAATAGGGTCAGATAAGATGCAATCACCTTTCTGGAATGTGTTTAGCTGCAATCTCACCTCTGCCTGGCACTGACAGTGTGGGAACCAAGCGTGTGAATACTACCACAGTACTGGGATGTCAGGCACTAATGTCCATAGAAGCTCACCATCATCACTTTCTGCTACTTACGTACTCCAGGAATGGATTCAGTCAGTGCCTGCTTTTTCGCATTTTATGTTGTGAATGAAAATCTCAAAAGGCTGCAACTAATGGCCAGAGCACAGGTCACATGTCTATATCCTAGTTGCAAGAGAGACTGGAAAATTGAGTCCCAGCTTCTAATTTGCAGAGATGGCATGCATAAGATGAGAAGCTCCTTCAATATAGAAAATTTACTCAAAGCTCATTGTTGGCCACCAATTGGACAAATGTCCACTGCAGTCCTGAGTTTTTTCCTCCTGAAAATAAAGGTAAATTCCATATGATAAGCTTGCATTTTAAAAGTTCACAGTCTGATTAATTTAGTAAAATTTCAGTTACATTACAGTTTCATTACAACCTTTCAGATTGTAAACTTTTTTTCTTGTTTTTCCTGAATGCCATGGGAAACCAATGGAGAGTTTTGAGCAGAGAAATAACATGATCTGGCTTAGCTTTTAAAGAATATCTCTTCACACTATGTGGAGAAATTTATATTGGGAGGAGGCAGGAGTAGTACATGGGGCCAGTTAAGAGTCTATTGTAATAATCTAGATGAGAGATGATGGAAGCTTAGGCCAGAATGACATATGAAAGATCACAAGAATAGGTCAGACTGAGGATATATCCTGAGATGAGAGTTTATAGAATCTACTGATAACATAATTATGAGTATATGAAAAATAGAGGAGTAAAGAGTAATTATAATGTGTTAGATGAGCTGAATTGTCATTTTCTGAAAAAGGGTGAAGCAAGTTTAACAGTAGCGATGTTGGTGGAGAATTAGGAGTTCACTTTTGGTACCGTTAGGTTTGAGATATCTCTTAGACAACCAAGTAAAGATATTAAACAGGGAGCTGGATGCCTGCAATTGACAGGAGAGGGTGAGGCTGGAAATATAAACCAGAGGACACTGAATATAGCTGGTATATAAAGCCCTGGGTTAGATGAAGTCAACTAGAGAGTGAATGTAGATAAAGAACAGAGTTCAGAGGGCTGAGCCCTGGGCTACTCCAACTCCACGACACAAATACAAGACATTTGTCACATTTGGGAAAAGAAACACAGAGCATAAGAGATACAGTGTGTTGTCATCTACTGTCAGAGTGGCCCAGCTTCGGCAAAGTTGACGACATGGACTTTCCTAAGTACCCCTTTCCTGCACTTGCTGTGTGGTTGTCCTGGGATGAACGCTCAGTGGATTGACAGCCCTGACCAGTGGTGTACTTGGTGCTGTGGCATTACTAGGGTGTACCCAAATTCTGTTTTTTTGTTTTTGAGACAGAGTCTCACTCTGTTGCCCAGGCTGGAGGGCAGTGGTGTGATCTTGGCTCACTGCAATCTCTGCCTCCCAAGTTCAAGCTATTCTCATGTCTCAGGCTCCCGAGTAGCTGGGATTACAGGCACCCCCCACCGTGCCCAGCTAATTTTTGTATTTCTAGTAGAGACGGGGCTTCGTCATGTTGGTCAGGTTGGTCTCAAACTCCTGACCTCAGGTGATCCACCTGCCTCAGCCTCCCAAAGTGCTGGGATTACAAGTGTAAGTCACCATGCCCAGCCTGGGTGTACCCAAATTCTGACGATCATGAAGCTTTGTGATTTTATGTTAGTTGAGTAAATTGTGAAACCATTGGTAAGCTCTCTTGTCCTTAGTGTGTGGCAGGGTTAATTTATTTTGGAAGGCTTGTAATGTTTAAGATCTGATGCTACCTTCACATTTATCATAGATCCCACTTGTCCTGTCATTAGTTGGTCCAGGAGCAAGATGGTGGCAGAGAGAAATAGTGGTTAAGCTTGATTCTGTCTTATGGTAACATAAGCTCAGCCCAGACTTTTCATGTTAACTAAACTTTTCATTAGAGCACTCCTCTCCTTCCTCAACTTTATCTCTTTCCAAAGGCCTTCCTGGCATTCTCTACTTATATCCTTTCATGGAGACATTAATGAAAGACTTGGTATGTCCTGGGTACCATAAAATATTTAAAGTTTTTTATGGGATTGTCAAGCAATCCCATGATGTAGATATTTCTTCTTCCTACCATTTCCAGTTTACAGATGAGGAAACTGAAAGTCACGTAGATTACACAGCTGGTAATGGCAGAACTGAGACCCAAACACAGGTCTTTGACTCCAAAGCTGGTGTTCTTTCCACTTTATGACACTGTTTTTGCCTAATGCAACATGAAATGTGCTATGAACAAACATGTAACAAAACTGCTGGGTGGTTGTTGGTGAGGACTAAGTAGGTTTTATGAGAAAAAATGCAGGTGGGGCCAATTAAGAAAACAAAAAGCAGCTGAATTTCTTTAGTAGCAACACCTTTGCCAAAAGGTAGGCGTCAGCAGAGGAAGATGAACGTTATCTGTGACTGTCTTCACACACCAGCTAGTTTGGTTGAATTCACTTTGGCCAAGCAGAAAAGGTAAGTGACATAAATTTTCACCCATATCACTAAACCGAACACATTTGACTGAATTTGTTACTTTCTGGATGGTTGTTTATAATGAAGTCCTGGCCTTTCTAAGTATTGGTGGTGGGTGGTTGAAAGGCACAAGTTCTTTAGATTAAGGAAATCCAAGCTCTTCAGGCAAAACTACTCCTCAAACAAATCATTTTACTTTTACAATGTATATCCAACCTTCTCTGTTTTTCTCCCCTGAAATATGACCTTGGCCTCCATCTCTGAACCAGCCAGCCTTTGAGCAGATGTAGTTTTATGGTTTAGGCTGAGAACTCCAGACACAAAAGCTTACACGAGTTTTAAGAATGAGCTGAGATAACCACTAAAGAAAGCTCTTGCTCGAGGAGCCACAAAGCCAGGAACAAATCTCCAGGCCATGTAATCACAAGGGGTTTATGCAAACCTCTTAAAAGAGGTTTACACAAATATACATCCAATTTCCTCTTTGGAAAGGCTGTTCCTTTCCAATGAGTCAGTGTTTAACAGAGCTTGGCAAAGCATGAGCCTGTCGGCTGGAAGAAGATGGGGTTTTAAAACTCGACCTATTCTTTGAAGGAGAAAATAACCCTTAAGCTGCATTAACATGGCCTACCACAAGCAGCAGGGACAGGGATTCTGTTATCAAGGCGTGCTGTGGGCTGTGTTTCCTTTCCAGACTGCTGGGGCCTCTGCTTGCCTGCACCTGCCTTGTTATCTGCCTTCTGCAGACCAGACTTGCCTTTGTGTGTGTCGTCTTTCTGAGCATATATCCCTGAGCAAGGCTGGGCTTTCTAGGCTCTAATTTTGAATGAGATGGAAAACACACTCAGCAAAGCCTCTGCCTCCTGTGTCTCAGTTATGGGAGCGCAGCTCATTTCATGTCCCTATCTCATGAGAAGAAATAGGCTGCACTGGGTATGGACGTGGGAGGATTACACTGTAACATGCTATTTGTAAGTACTGAAATACTGGCCTTTTAAATAAAATTGTTTTATTTATATTTCCTTAAATCTGAAATCAGAATCATTTGTGTTTTAAGATCAAGATCAAAGACTCAACTTTTTCACTATATATAAACAGACAAACAGCTGCACGGTCTACCAACCTGGCCAGGTGTGTGAGTCTCACATTTTTCCAGTAAGTCCCCAGCTTTGTGATATCACAAAGCTTCTATTGCAAGAATTCTCTGTTCTTCCAGACAAGAGGAAGGTAAACTGAAAGTGACGCAGGTAATTGTGCACGGGGATCTCCAGCTGTGGATGATACCATTAAAGGAGACAGAGATAAATCTGAATTGGCTTATTTGAAACCATTCTATAGCTCTCATGAAAAGGTTGGTACTGCCTGACTCTTTCCTTTCCCAGAAAAGTTTCTTTAAAACAGATCTTCAAAGCACCCAAACAAGAGATGAGATTATTTGATTGGAGTCAGATGAAAATATTTGGACTTATTTTATGGCACTGACTTTCCCACATTATTCCCTTTTCCTCTCTCTAGTCGCTCTCCTCAAACCCTTGCTTTTTCTGTCTTGCCTCCCCAACAGCCCACCATTCCCCTCTTGGTCCCAATCTTCCCACACACCTAAGTACCTGGACCCTCATGGCTGAGGCCTGCTGTCAGGACGCTTGGAGGGCCTGGAGTCCCACCGAGAAGAGATGAGGCGGTGGGCACACAGCCTGAACAGGGCAGCTAATTGCTGGCTCATACTCCAGAAGATTTCTCCCTCCAGGGAGTTCCTTGCAGAGTATGGGGCATCCCAGTTCCGTTAATCACCATTGGCTGCAGAGCATGAGAAGTTTGTGTGGCTCCACGGACAGTGACACCAGAGGATGGAGCTGTGGGAGGGGTGGACATGTGTAAAAGGCCCGAGGGGGGACCAACCAGCACATGCAGGTCACTGAGACAGCAATTCTGTGCCAGCTTTGTGATGAGCATGTGCCTCTCCGAGCTGCTCCAACCAAGGTTCATGATGTGTCTCGAATTGGTGGGTTCTTGGTCTCATTGACTTCAAGAATGAAGCCGCGGACCCTCGCGGTGAGTGTTATAGCTCTTAAGGTGGCGCACCTGGAGTTTGTTCCTTCTGATGTTCGGATATGTTCGGGGTTTCTTCCTTCTGGTGGGTTATGTGGTCTCGCTGGCTCAGGAGTGAAGCTGCAGACTTTCGCCGTGAGTGTTAACAGCTCTTAAGGCAGTGCGTCTGGAGTTGTTCGTTCCTCCTGGTGGGCTCGTGGTCTTGCTGGCTTCAGGAGTGAAGCTGCAGACCTTCGCGGTGTTACAGCTCATAAAGGCAGTGTGGACCCAAAGAGTTAGCAGCAGGAAGATTTATTGCAAACAGAGAAAGAACAAAACTTCCACAGTATGAAAGGGGATCCGAGCGGGTTGCCACTGCTGGCCTGGGCAGCCTGCTTTTATTCTCTTATCTGGCCCCCACCCACATCCTGCTAATTGGTAGAGCGGAGTGGTCTGTTTTGACAGGGCGCTGATTGGTGCGTTTACAATCCCTGAGCTAGACACAAAGGTTCTCCACCTCCCCACCAGATTAGCTAGATACAGAGTGTGGACACAAAGGTTCTCCAAGGCCCTACCAGAGTAGCTAGATACAGAGTGTGGATTGGTGCATTCACAAACCCTGAGCTAGACACAGGGTGCTGATTGGTGTGTTTACAAACCTTGAGCTAGATACAGAGTGCGGATTGGTGTATTTACAATCCCTGAGCTAGACATAAAGGTTCTTCACCTCCCCACCAGACTCAGGAGCCCAGCTGGCTTCACCCAGTGGATCCGCACCGGGGCTGCAGGTGGAGCTGCCTGCCAGTTCCGTGCCGTGCGCCCAGCACTCCTCAGCCCTTGGGTGGTCGATGGGACTGGGCGCCGTGGAGCAGGGGGCGGCGCTTATCGGGGAGGCTCGGGCCGCACAGGAGCCCACGGAACAGGGGGAGGCTCAGGCATGGCGGGCTGCAGGTCCCGAGCCGTGCCTCGCAGGAAGGCAGCTAAGACCCGGTGAGAAATCGAGCACAACGCCGGTGGGCTGGCACTGCTGGGGGACCCAGTACACCCTCCGCAGCCGCTGGCCCGGGTGCTAAGCCCCTCACTGCCCGGGGCGGGCAGGGCCGGCCGGCTGCTCCAAGTGCGGGGCCCACCAAGCCCACGCCCACCCGGAACTCCAGCTGGCCCGCAAGCGCCGCGCGCAGGCCCGGTTCCGGCTCGCGCCTCTCTCTCCACACCTCCCTGCAAGCTGAGGGAGTTGGCTCTGGCCTTGGCCAGCCCAGAAAGGGGATCCCACAGTGCAGTGGTGGGCTGAAGGGCTCCTCAAGTGCCGCCAAAGTGGGAGCCCAGGCAGAGGAGGCGCCAAGAGTGAACGAGGGCTGTGAGGACTGCCAGCACGCTGTCACCTCTCAATGATACGCTTATGAAATTTTGAAACCATTGAAGAATTTTAATCTGGGAAAGCTGTTATTATATAACCCTGCATATGAGGGATAAGACAGTGTAATTTCTGAGTCTGATTCCTGCATGTAAACTCCTTTGATTGTAAAGATACTAAATGAAGGCAATAAAAAAAAAACCTCCATGTTTTTCTTCATTTTTGGCTTGTTGAAGACCGCCCTGTTACCATGAAGGAAGAAAACCATGGCGTCAATGCTACATCAGATATTTGATGATAGTTCTAGTTCTATGTTTTCCTAGCACTTTGGGAGGCCGAGGCGAGTGATCACTTGAAGTCAGGAGTTCAAGACCAGCCTGGCCAACATGGCGAAACCCCGTCTCTACTAAAAAATACAAAAATTAGCTGGGCCTGGTGGCAGGCACCTGTAATCCCAGCTACTTGGGAGGCTGAGGCAGGAGAATCATTTGAACCTGGGAGGTGGAGGTTGCACTCCAGCCTGGGAGACAGAGCAAGTCTCTGTCTAAAACAAACAAACAAACAAACAAACAAAAACAAAACAAAACAAAAAACAGTGCAGTAGACCTGTGGCCCAGTCTGGCAGCAGTCTGCTAGATGGCTGAAATTGATTTGGTGACCATCTGATGTTAGAGCTCATTGAATATTCACTGAATATTACAACTGAATGGAGGACCTCTGACACTACCTTGCCCAGGAGGTGAAACGACTTGCCCAATGACCCCCAGAAAGTTATTGGTAGAGAAAGAAGCCACTCATTTGCATAAGGCAGGAGGATGGGGCCAGTGGTGGGTATTTCAGTAACCCCGAGCGCCAACTCAAGTTGCTATCTAACCTCATGTTGTTCCCAGTAATCCCCCACTACTGCCTCGGGTGTTCTCTTCCTGCTCATCATACCCCTTCCTGCCATCCCCCCCAAGAGCCTATGGGGCAGCTGTGCCAAACGGGATCACTCTACTTTTGATGCTTGGGCCCCGATATGTTCAAATATGCCTTCTCCTTATATTCTTAGCATAGCTGAAGGAACGCTGGTGGGGAGGTGGATAATGAGGTTTAATTAAAAGCATGGGAGGTGAGGACACCCTTGCCTCTTTCCTGACTGACTTTAGAAATAGCAGTCCTCTGGGAAGTCACCCATCTCACACTAACCTGGCGAGACTGACATTCAATCCAGACACAAACTAACGGCAGCTACGGGGGTGGATTGGGCGGGCATTTTTAATAATTATGATTTTCACGCAGATAATCAGCCACTTTCTCTCTTCCTCCCTCTTCCCACGCTGATCCTGAGCTCCTTGACCGCAGATTTCCTTCGCCTTCCACTAGAGGGCGCTGGAGCCCATGTTACCGCGCTCTCGGCTGGGAGGCGGCGTCCAGGGACAGAAGGAAAAACGATGGGGTGTGTGCCGGATGAAGGCACCAGCCCTGACAGCTCCAGGCCCAGGTCCTCCGTGTGCGCCCCGAAATGCAGTGACTCCTAGGGCTGGAAGGAAAGACATAAAGCCCACCTGGGCATCATCTCTGAGAGAGACACTGGCCAGCGTGGAGGGTGCCCTGCGGGGAGTGGCTGTGTGAGAACCAGGCTGCATGAGCCCTGCTCAGGGACTCAGGACCCTTTTCCTGGGGAAAAGAGGATTCGAGGGCTATGGGAGCCCGCCCTGCTTTTCTGAAGGGCTTTGGTTTGGAAGAGGAAACAGGCTTATTTTATTATATGTGGCTCTAGCAGCAGAACTAGACTTATATATAATATTTATATATATATTCGATTCGATAATTTGAATAAAGATCTCAGCATTGTGCCTAGCATTTTTTTGAGAGCTCAATTTAAAAAATATCATACTAGCTAACCTTGAACTCTGCTTCTGTGAAAGGTGCTGTGCCATCTCCCATTCATTATCTCTAAGCCCCCGAACAGTCCTGAGGTAAGTGTTCCTCCTCTTATTTCACAAATGAGGCAAGTAGGGTTGAGAGAGGGTGAGAGTTTTGCCCAAGGTCTTAAGGCTGTGCAGTTGCGCGGCTGAAATCCTAAGCCAGGTCTGTTTGCCTTCAGAGCTGCACCTCTGCCAGGACACCATGCTGCCTGCCTGTGTCAATGCGGGGTCTTCACCCAGAGGCCCCCTGGGTCTGGTGAGCTGTTGGCGGGTTTATCTATCACACACAATGACGCAGGGGCACATATGTTGTTCTGGCAAAGGCACGGCACATTTTCCAATGTCGGTGGAAGCAGTGGATGAATAATACAGGGAAAGGGATCAACAGAAGGGGCAAGAGGAGGCCAGAGCGGCATCAATTCCCCTGCCCCCAACAGGGGCAGCAGAAGGTGCAGCTGGCGGGGGCCCTGGAGTGGAGCTGCCAGCCCAATCATCTTGCCGCTGGATTTTGCACAGCTTTCCTTCTCCATTCTTTCTCGTTTTTGACACTTGTGATTATTACCAATCCTGGTGGCGCTGACGCACGGGAGTGCAATGGTTACCATGGCATGCTTAATAGCGAGAGCAGATGTTTGGCAGGCTAACTCCATGCATTCTAAATACACAAGGCGAAAGTCGGTGGAGGGCGTAATTGATTTGCTGACTGCAGTGGGAAGCCAGCCCATGCTTGCACTGGGCCAGGGCGCCTTACCACATACTCTCTTTAACATGGCACACAGTCTCATCATGAGCTGACCCCGTGTAGGCCCCTGGCCTCACATGTTATCAGTTCCCACCTGCTCTCTCCTCTTCCACTGTGCTTAACACCTGCAGCCCTCACAAACAAGGGATGTATGGTCTGACTCCAGTCTGAGCCTTCCCACAAGCTGTTCCCTCTACTTAGTACCCCGTGTCCTTCATTGTGTGGACAACACCCACATGTCCCTCAGTTCTCGGCTTGGACATCACTCTGTAACATGTCTCTGTTAACTCTGAGTTAGAAGGACCACTCTGTGCCTAACCTTTCATAGAACTTACTGCTGTGCTGTAATTGCTTGTTTAGTTGTTTATCTTCCCAACAGAGTGCAAGTTTCTTGAGTTCAGGAACCATGATATTTACAAGGATAATCTTGACTTTAATTTACATGGAAAATTACATAAAATCAGACTTCCATTCTTTACCCTTAGTGTCACATTTCTTGCAAAACACTTCATAGCTGGTCTTCCCTCCAAACAGGATTATTATGATCTGTATACAAAGTACACTTTTCTACCCCTGAGCCTCTGTTTGTGGCATTGCCCCATCTAGAAACCTGCTCTTCTTCCCTCATTCAGGTCTACCTTTTCAAATCCGGTTCATCTATCAAGATACCTGTCAACTGCCAAATAATCGTATTTGATATACCCTTCCCCAAGCATATGAGGTCACTTCTCAACCATAAACTGCCTCCTTAACACCCCCACTCCCACTGCACACTTGCCCCCACAGCATGCTATTTGCATCTCTTTCAGGACCCCTGACTTTGCAAGATGCAGCCACTTCCTGGTTATGTGTAACTTTGTCCAAGTTAAATGACCCCTCTCAGCTTCAGTTCTTCCTTTAGTGAAATGGGGATAATCACACCTCCTCCATGGGGTGACTATGTGGATTAACTGAGCTACTGAAGAAAAAACATGTAGCTCAGTGCATGGAACACAGTAAGAACCTATTAAATAGTTGCTATGATTAAGTCACTATTTATATATTTGCCCAGTGTTGCCCATGAGATGTCCCTCCTTGGGTTGGATGCCATAATACCTCTATATCCAGCAGCATGACCCAAGTGCCTGGCTCCTATTGTATCCAACTGAGCAGGTGGAGGAAACTTACTTCACCCTGTTGTGCTCATTTCCTTGTCTGTAAATTGGGGATACTAGATAACTGGGAGCATTAAGTATTGAAGTACCTTTTAAATGATAACGCTCCAAAACAAGTTGAGCTGACTTAAAAGGACTAGTTTAAGAGGAAACACACAGAGAAGAAGTATATCCAATTTCCACTTCACTTTAAAGATTCTGGAGCTGAGGCTAGTTGGCCAGTGATTATTGCCTCGGAAACAAAAGTGAATTTGTATACACCTTACCCAAGAGTTCCAAACCAAGAAAAGAAAGGGGCAGAGAAGGGAGAAAAGTGTGTGTGCATGTGTGTGTGTGAGTGTCTCTCTCTCTCTCTCTCTCTGTATGTAATTTTGGGGTGGGAAGGGAAAAAAAGACATTTTGACTTTGACATTATTTTCCAAGAGTCACAACTAAGAGTAAATAAACCATCAGTTTTGTCATTGTGACCAAGATATCAAGTTACTAAAGAGGAGTGAAAAAATGGACATCGGATGGTTTAATGTAAGGTATTGACAAGAGTGAACATTTGTGAAGGTCACAGAGCTGAAACCCACCTGGTTGGAGATGGTTAGATTGAGGAGTCCCTATCATTTTAGTTATACTTACGTATTTGTAGCCTTTCCTTGTGTCTTGATGAAAATCCCCAAATTTTTGAAAACTCTGTTTAAAAAGAAATAACTATGGCTTGTATTTCTCAAATTATGAAGTACATTTCTTTTCTTTTTTGTTTTTTGAGAGATTGGATTTCACTATGTTGCCAGGCTGCAGTGCAGTGGCTATCCACAGGCACAATCCCACTACTGATCAGCACTGGGGTTTTGGCCTGCTTTGTTTCCAAACTGCACCAGTTCACCCCTCCTTAGGCAATCTAGTAATCCCTGGTTTCTAGAAGGTCATCACATTGATGCTGAACTTAGTGGGGGCACCCTATGAGCATAGCTTACTGCAGCCTGAAACTCCCGGACTCAAGCAATCCTTCAGTCTCATCCTCCAGAATAGCTGGTACTACAGGCATGTGCCACAATGCCTGGCTAATTTTTTTTTGTTGTTGTTTTAGAAATGGGGATCTTGCAATGTGATCCAGGCTGGTCTCCAACTCCTGGCCTTAAGTGATCCTCCCATCTCAGCCTCCCGAGTAGCTGGGACTACAGGCACATGCCACCATATGTAAAAGTGAATTCCTTATATCACATTTTCAGCAGTTATAATTTGCACCTCTTTTGGGAATTTGCAGGGAAAAAATAACCCCTACCACCAACCTCACGCTCCCTTGATGCTCATGTCTGTGAACCTCAGATATTTTCTAGCTGGTGTGGGCTGGAGCCAGCTGCTTCCCACTCCCTCCCTTCAGTTACAGCTATGTGGAGCTGTGAATGAAGCCTCTTGGCGACTGCTCCTTCATACTTAAGGACTTCCCTGCACCCAGCATGGGCAGCAGCTTCACACGGCTCTGTGGTGTGGAGAGCTGCATTCTACATACAGATTTGTCAGTAATTTGTGACACTGGGACATCTCATCTCACTTCTGGTCCTTGGGCTTCTCATCTGGAGAGTGTCAGAGTTGGACTCCATTGTTTCCTGTCTATTCATGTAATTTTTCGTCTTTAGTCTGCTGATATGGTGAATTACATTGATTGGCTTTAGGATGTTGAATCAACCTTGCATTTCCAGGAGAGGCCCCACTTGGTATTATGTATCTTACGAATTGTTGGATTTGATTTGCTGGTATTGTGTGAAGGATTTGGGGTCTATATTCACGAGGGCTGTTGGTGTGTAGATTTCTTCACATTGTCTTTGGTTTTGGTATCTGGATAAAACATGATTTGGGCTGTGCTCCTTCTTCCTCTTCTATATTCTGGAAGGGTTTGTGTGGAATTGATGTTATTTCTTCCTTAAATATTGGTAGAATTTGCCAGTACATTGCATCCCTTTGAAGGTTTTTCACGTTCTAGGCAGCCCTGGATGACCCAGAGTCCTTCTTGATGACTGCGGGTCTTTATTGGGTAAGGGTTGGAGGGGTGTCCCACCTCAGACCCTTTAGAAGCTCCCTGTGAATAGGGGAATAGAGGATCCCTTTTTCTCCGAACCACACATGAAACACTCCTCCTCTCTGATTATTTCTAGTGTTATCTCTCCAATCTGCAGGTCACCGTTTTCCCAGTGTGACTTTGAGTCCCTAGGAGACATTGAGGTATGGTGAACTTTGGAGTCAGCAAGAGCCAAACCAAAATCCTTGGCCCTAGCATCTATCAGTTGTTTGGCTTTGGGCCACATTCTTGAACCTTTAAGAGCCTCAGTTCCTGCATTATTACTGGGCATGATGAATTTTAGCTCACAAGGCTGTCGTAAAGATGAAATGAGATAATACTCGTAAAACGTCTGGTGTGGTAGGTTTTGAATGAATGCTGGCCTTCTTTCTGAGGAAATAGAGACAGTCCACTTTACTCAAGCTGTCGCGCTCATCTCAGTCAAAAGCCTGTTCGCCCACTTCTGAATCTGGGATAGAGTTTTCTGGAGGGAGTCACATATGCAAAGACAGAATTTATTTATTTATTTATTTTTGCCATCTGTTCAAGAAGACGAATGAGTTTACCTTGAAAACAGCCACATTACAAAGTGATTGGTGGATGGGAATAATTTGTTATAACGCTCCAATTCCGCAGCTTCTTTGCAGGTGGAGAGGATGCCCTCCTCAGTTCCTGGGGCTCCAGAGCGTCGCTTCCTACTGGGAACTGGAGAACAGGCAGCTCTTCCCATTCTAACTAGAGCCTAGAAAGATGGTTCCTTTTGATTGCAAAAAAAAAAGTCATGAGTCAGCTGCTTAGGAAAATGCTTCGCTGATGATATTAGTACATAGAAGCAATTTCATCTGTCTGGGAAGCGCATTTTCAGGAGGCAAGATTGGCAGAGCAGAAAGGACGGGAGTAACGAAGCCGGCACAGGGGCTGAACGTGCTGTTTCAGTTCTGGGCAGCAGAGGGCGATGTTGCCTCCTAATACTAAAATAGGATTTGGCAGGAAGGTGAGCGTGGCAGAATTTGGGAGAAGAAACTTGCCTTCTTACTAGCCATTGTAGAGTTCCACAATTTACTTTAAAAATGCCTTGGTTGGCTTTTTGGCTTTAGTAGGAAGAACAAGGACAAAGGATGGTTAGTTACAATAACAGCTAATACTCTGCATGAAACTTCGTACGAGCCTGGCATTGTTCTATATGCATTTTAGGTATACTAACTCACTAAATTCTCACAATATTAGCACGAAGCAGGTAATGATATTACTGTGACCAGTTTAGATATGAGGAAATAGGCACAGCATGGTTAAGTGACTTCCCCAGGGTCACAGAGCTAGTAATTGGCAGAGCCAGGATTTGAACTCAGGCTGCGTGGTTCCAAAGTCTGTACTTTTAAGCATTAGTAACAACTTGCATTGCACTTTTAGTCCCATTTGATATTTCAAACAGTTTTATGAGGTAAGTACATTCATGACCCTTTTTTTTTTAAAGGACAGAGAGATACAGAGATAGAAATATATATATATAATAGACCAATAGATGAATAGATAGGTAGAGATAGAATGAACTTTGCTAACTTTGCACCTGAAGTGTTCTAAAGACATTTCAGTGCCAACGTTCTAGGACTCTATGCCTTATATTACTGGCCAATAACACAGAGAAAGTGTCAGAGAGAGGGTACACATTTCCAAGCCTTCTGACATCAAGTCTAGTGCTTTTTACTACTATACTATTTTATGGACACCTCCCTCCACTGTTCCTGATTCTGTGGGGTGAGGGGTCAAGAGATGTGGAGGCTTGGTCTCTGCACTACAGACGCCCTGGGCTATCCTACCTTCCCCCTTCTTTAGCCTCAGCCACAGGATCCAGAAACACGGGATGCAATTGTAGCTCTCTCACTTGGTAGCCGGATGGCCTTGACCTTGGGCCTCTCTAATCCATCTGGGGAAGTGTGCTTTTAGGAGGGATGATTGAAAGAAGGTAAGTTCTCATTCTTCTAAAGTTTATTTTCAGTAAAACAGATTGGGGTCATATAACATCAAAGGTCTCTTTTAGGGCTAATACTCTATGAAAGTACAAGTTTGGTATGCCTGAAAATCTGTTATTAAATCTTGATCTGATTTCCAGGGACCTCACTCAACCCAAAGGAATGACTCATATTCTCAACCTCAGCACTATTGACATTTTGGATTGGGTAATTCCGTGTTGTGAGGGGCTGTCCTGGATATTGCAGGATGTTTTGAATCATCCCTGGCCTCTACTCACTAAGTGTCAGTGGCACAACCTCCTTGATGTGTGACAAACAGCTGGGATATACCTGAATTATGGGAATCCACAAACTGTGGTAGACCAGGAGGACAGATGCTTTGGGTGAATGATGATGGTGGTGATGATAATAATAAGTAAAATTTTTCCCCACTGGCTAATACGTCCTAGGCCCTATTCTAAGGGTCCAAATGTATTCTCATTTCATCTTCATAACTACTCTACCAATTTGGCATTGTTAACTGCATTCTAAAGAAGAAATTGAGATTTAGCAAGATGATCAAGGTCATACAAAGTTCATAAGAAATGATCTGAGACTCTATTCCCAGGCATTCTCTCATCAATGCTCACACGCTGCTTTCTTCAAGGTGGTCTATACAGCAAGACTCAACATGGAGATCACAGGCTGGCATTGGTCCATGGACTATTTGCTTAGTCTGTGATGAAGTAAATCAATTACATCACTAAGTACACCATTAAGTTCCGCTACTATTTTTCTGTTGCCAGACTTTCTCAATGAAGGAAGCATTGCCTAGATTTACACTCTGACACAAGCTCCTTATTTTCTTGCAGGCAGGGACAGAAATAAAAGTGTTACCTAATATTTGCATGAAATGTTATCATTGACAAACTGTACTACTCTCTGTAGTCCTACATGCTTCCTATAGGTGTGCCTTTCTAGACCTTGTGAGGTACAGAAGAGGCAACATAATGTGAACTATCTCTTTCCAGTTGTGGAAACCAAAGCCCAGACAGTTAAGTGGTTTGTCCTTGCTGTTAAGACAATAAGCTGAGGATCCTAGAATATGAGTTCGAGTTTCCCAATTCATAGTCCACTGCTTTTTCTAAGATGAGACTCTATCTATATTCTGATTATCAGGAAGTGACTCTCTTCCTTTGTCTAGCTCCAACATCACATAAAGATCTGAAATAAATTGCTCTTATTTCGTGGGATCATCTATTATATTACATGGTTACCAAAAAAAACATAATCACAATTCTATGGCCAATATACTTTCCATTCTTAAAGCACGAGGCTCTTTTGAATCTCTTGTGTTGTGGACTGAGCCTGGGTTTTGCAATCAGCCCTAGCTCCCTTATTTGCAAATTATGAGACCTTAGGCAGATTTTTAAGCCCCTCTCATCCTTACTTCTTTCATGTGTCAGATAGACATAATCACATATACCTGTTGTGTTGTTGCAGTTATGAAATGATGTATGCATGGTGTATATGGTGCCTAGAAGAATGTCAAACTCATCGTGGGAGCTAAGACAACACAACACTTCTCTTCTTTCTTCTGTCATGTACTTTTCGATTGTTTTCCAGATCCTTAAAACTGTCTCATAACACAGTAACTGATAACAGTGGAAACTAATCTTTATCACTAACGCGCAATCCATCTGGGAGAAAGCCATTTCTTCTTAAATCAGGACCAATCAACAGGGCCTCATGACCCAGCTCTGTCCTGCCATGAGCTTGTAGGAACAGATGGAAAATGGGCTGGGCAGATGGAAAAACTCCCATTTTCCAACAGGAATTATTTATTTGTGAAGTTGGAACCACTTGGAATGAATATTTTGAATTAGGGGGATGAAATATTGTAAGATTCACAACAGGGCCATGAAATTAACTAATGCGCTGCGAATACCAGCGTCACTGTGAGTCAGGGAGTAGGAATAATAATAGGGCTTTTGAAAAATGGTCCAAATGCATAAATTATTTACTGGTGTGTGTTAATGACTCCCTTGAAGCTGTTCTCCTGATGGCATTATCCCACATGCCCTTCCTAAGAAAGGCACATCTCTCTGAAAGTTCCTTTGTCTTTATGATCAGATTATTACAGAACATGAATATTATAAAGTACACAGCTACCATTATGAGACCTGTTCAGTGTCAGACATTGTGTGTAAGGCTTTCTATATGTTGTATCCAACCCTTATAATGCTCCTGCAGAAGAGCTCCTGCAAGGGCCTATACTTTACAGATGAAGAGACTGAAATTCAATATGATTAAATGTTTTATCCAATTTACACAAGTGGTATGTAGTAGGTTTTCCTGCTTTCACTTTTGAGTCTCTGACCTATCTCCTCAAATGGCCCCCAAGTAATCAAAACATTCATCTGACTACATCACACTCCTTTGCCCCCTGTTTTGAGTCTTAGAAGAGCATCAAGGGTCTTTAAGATCTGCTCCTATTTTCTCTGGTTTTGCCTCCTTCACTTTCACCTGGCATCTCATGTGTGTAGGTAACCATAGTTTACAATTGTCAGAACAGAGAGCAAACTCATGTCTCAGAGTCACTCTTATCTTGCTCGTTCTACCTAGAAAATTCATCCCTGCCACGCAAATACCCCGCCCGATCCCCACTCTGGCCAATTGCTTTTTCTTTCTCAGGACTCTGCTTAGTCCTAAATACTCCAGGAAGCCTTCCCTGACAACAGCTGCCTTTCTCTTACTGTGCTGAGCCATGTGCCTCTCTGCTGTGGCTAAGCACTCCTGGTTTTCCTCACACACAACACTTGCACACCATCGTACTCAACAGCGTTAGTGTCTGCCTTCTCTCATAGATTGTGATGTTGCCTTACTCATCCACGTGTGCCCAGTACCCAGCACAGCACCAAGCAGAGTGACGGGTTTGTGTGTGTTGAACTGACAAATGGATGGATGGATAAGAATGACAAATGCTTTGTTCTAAAGTGTCCGTGTGGTATGTCTGCAGTATCTGTGATGGCCTCGTGTCAACGAACAGCTAAGCTATCTATATAGGAATAAGTAACAATGCCTCATCAGGATCCCAGAGACAGCTGAGGGAATTCAAGGTGTTGGCTGATTGGCATTCTCAGGATGAGAGAGATTGAGGCATTAGAAAGGTAGATGAAAATGGACATGTATTTTCTGATCCCCTAAGTACTAGGGAGAAAAGCTACCAGCAGACCAATTCCAGGTAAGCGTCAGTATTGGAAGGAAGTCTAGTGGTGTTTGGATAGGAACATTAGCAAGGAAGTCTGGACATATCTTTGGAAATCCACTCAAACTATTCACTGAGGCCTAACACACAGTAGGTGCTCAGTAAATGCTTGTTGAATAAAAAAGACAGAAATAGGCAGGGCTGAGCTCCTCTTTTCCTTCCTGAGACGGAGAGGCCCACAGTAACTAGAAGCTCCAGAATGAAGCTACACCCAGGCCATTACATGTTCCTCCAGGTGGCCCAGGGTGGGGGTCATCACAGGCCTTGGGGCTGGGAAGATCTGTGATTAAGCCATGGCTATACCACTCTTTTGCCAAGCCTCACCTCTTCATTCATAAAGTAGAAAGAATTCCCACCTCTCAGGGCTGTCACGAGTATTAGATTAGACCACAGAACCTGGCCCACAGCGTGTGTTCAATATTCAGAGTCCCCTTCCCCTTGCCTTAGGTTCAGTGAACATTGGCACAAGGCAGCAGGAAACAAATCCTAAGCTGCACTGAGTGGCAACAAAGTTTCTTGCACCCTCTGCCAACCTGGCTGTTGGAACAGGGCAAACCTGCTGCTGGAAGCTGGATAATAAGACAGGACGCAGTAGGACTGGCAGGTCTAGCAAATAATGGGCAACAAGAGCTGTGCAGAAGGAAGGCAGGTCTTCACTTCCATCTCTAGTTCCTCCTGTAGCTTTAGCAAAGTCACAGAACTTCTCTGAGTCTCAGCACCCTCATCTGCAGATGGTCACCATTCTTCTTTTGTTCCTCTTCACCCCTGGCTGTTCTGTGTTGTTCTGAGGATAAAGGGCATGCTTGGAAACATGCCCTAGATAACTCATAGGTCATCACAGTTGACCTGGTCAGAAATTCATCCCTCCGGGAGGTAGGAGGAATAATGAGTGGGAGTTTAAAGAGCCTGACATCCAGCTTACACTCCGAGTTTTGGAGGAGCATCTAACCCAAATGCTCCTTCAAAAGTCAGAGTGTAAGTTGGATCTCAGGCTCTGGAAACTCCCACTGTGCACTGTACTTTGTTTGATGTATGGCAGATAAATGGCAGGGGTTTATTTAGACAGGGCCTTCCAGACTGCAAATCAGCTGGAGAAGATGTTTATGTGGTTACTAGTGTGATTATGGATATAAAAGAGCAGAGACCACGAATTTATCCTAGGTGTAGTGGTACCTTCTCCCTCCTCTTCTGCCATTGGATTCATGAGGCCAAGACCTGGCAAATTCTCAGATCCTTCACAACCCATCTTGAAAGGGACCACTATTTCCCATCGTGAACAGATTTTCATCCATCCTGAGTCCTTCTCAGGAAGCTACCAACCTTATAGAGTAGCCTACTTCATTGTTCATCAGCTCTGATTGTTAGTGTGTTTTTTCAGATTAATTCAAAATCAATCTCTCTATAACTTCTTCCATTCCTACCTCCACTCCTGGCACCTAAAGAGTGGAATACCTTTCCTAGCTCCTTTTCTTTTCCTTTAGTCTCTCTCCCACATGCTGAATTTAAGGGCATGTGGTGCCATGGCTGAGTAAGGAGTAGAAAGTGTTGTTAAGTAAGGTCAGCCCTGGTGGGAATAGATGATATGACTTAATTGGGATGGGCTGTTTTTTCAGAGGTTCACACATATGAAGTTCAAAGAGGAAGGTGTAGGTCAGGGTTTGAGATATGGAAAGTTTTATACAACAGGGTAACTTTGATCTAGTTCTTGCAGAATAAAAAGGAATTTAACAGTTAAAAGTAAGAGAAAAGGTATTGCAAGAAGAGAAAATTGCGTGTGCAAAGGCAAAAAGTCAGGAACATGCATAATGTCTTTAGGAAGCAAAGAGTTGTCCATGTGGCTGAAATGAAGATGAGAAAACAGTGGCAGATGAGGCAGGAGGGATGGGCAGTGGTGAGTCAAAGGATGCAATGAGCTGCTTGTTTCTAGCAAGATGTTAGCCAAGCTGCAGTTGGTCTTATTTGGTGAGTGATGGCAGCCATGCAATTAGTATACAGTTTATTTAACAATATTGATTTGATATTCCATATAGGCTATGCCCTACTTGAGGCCCTGACACTTTGGGAGCACAGGGCCTGGGACATAGTGCATGCTTTAAATATGCTTGCTGAATCAGTAAGTGTGGTAGGTGACTTAAAAGACTTAAGGTGTTGAAACTTCACCTAGGAAAGCATTTTCTATAGTGTCTTGCACAGAGCACTGGTTCTGAGAACTGCCAAAATGTTATATTTGAAAATAAAAACTACTTTGGTCAAATGAACTTGGATTAAACAAGAAGAAGATGACTTTTTGTTTGGTTTTGTTTTCATTGTGTTAGTCCTTGGGCATTGAGACTTACCAAGGAGGAAGGGATATAGGCTATGGTGTTTCCCAAACTTGAACATTAAACACCTGTCTGGAAGAGCATCACCTGGTTTTAATATTCCAGGGAACACACTCTGAGAGACAGCTATAGGTATCTGAAAGTAAATAAAGAAGCAGAATTGTTTTTGTCATTAAGAGCATGGTGGAAAGATAAAGAGTGGAGAAGGTCCTGCTGCTTCTTAAAATATCTAGCACAGAAGGAACATGTATTACTCCAGTTCACATTCCACTGGTGAGACCTAGCCAAGAAGCCATGTCTGTTTGCAAGATGGGCTGTAAATGAAGCCCCTGCTCGACAGCTACTTTCCACCTTCAGCCACCCATTATGAAAGAAGGAGCACAAATTTTGGTGGACAGCTAGCTATCTCTGCCAATTTTGCTGAAGAAACAAAGACTCCATGAATGAGTTGGAGAGGGAAAGCCAGAAGATTCCAAATGGGCATTTCAAGCTGCAGCGTTTAAAAGGCTCTTGTTGGGAATTATATTCCTTTTCCTCCTACTTGCCAGGGTGTATCAGTAAGCTTCTGCCATGGCAACAATCTCGATTCTTAGTGGCTTATTTTTTGTTTATGTTCAAAGACTTGTTTTTGTTCATGTATAGGTTCATGTTGATGTCTATGATGTTGATTTCTACTGTGCTCCATGTTGTCTTTACTTTGGGTTCTAGGCTGCTATCACAGGCTTATCGGTGAAGAAAAAGAGAACATGGGAGAACCACAGAATATCCTTTAAAACTACCATTAGGAATGACGTTACTTCTACCCAACTTCACTGACAAAAGGCAGTGATCAGGCTCAACAGGATGGAGTTAATTCTCTCACTGGGTGGCAAGTCATAAGTCATAAGTTATGGGCCAAGCCTGATTGACATCAATGAGGTTGGAAAGTATCATTCCCTAAGTGGATGAAGCAAACTTTGAACAATAGTTATTTTGCAATAGACGATACAAGGGACTCAGAATTCTTACCTTGTGGGGTTAGGGCACTGAAAGATCTTATGGAAATGCCCACCAACCTCAGGCAATAGTCACCCCTTCAGTTGTTGGCAGTCACTCATCATGAAATAGAGGATTTATATTTCAATCATGTGAATGTCAGAAGTCAAGTCCTTCTAGCCTGGGGCTGCCTTTAGCATTTCTGGAGTCCTGTGTTCAATACTCTCTGGAGGAGTGCACCCTGGGTGAGGAAAGGATCCCAATCCTGGCTTATCGAGGAAGAGCGGGGCATAGTGTATACAACCTAGGGGTATTGTGTGTGTTGTGGGAGGAGGGGACAGGAAATCATAAAAAAGCATCAGGTGGAAAAGGGATAATATGTGGCTTGCATATGCTTGTCCCTTTCCAGGAAAGGTCATCTGCCTTCACTCACCTGGCAGAATCCAGTTCAACATTCCAGGCTGAGCACAAGCATCTTGTCCCCCAATAAGCTCCCATTGATTCACTCAATTTGAGATGTTTATTCTTTCTGTTGTGCACTCATTACTCTCACGGTAAGTTTAAGAAAGTGCTTATCACACTAGTACAGTTATTTACCTACTTGCTGTCATAGGTGGAATTGCATCCCTGCGTGAAAGTTCTGCTGAAGTCCTAACTTCCAGTGCCTCAGAACATGATCTTATTTGGAATAGCCTTTTCAGAGGTGATCAAGTTAAAATGAGGTCCTTCATCGTTCTGGTGGGCCCTAATTCCATATGACTGGTGCCATATTGAAAAGAGGAAATCTGACATAGAGAGAGACACATACTGAAGGAGAATGTAATGTGAAGGTGAAGGCATAGATCAAGGTCATGCCTCAACGAGTCAAGCAATACTGAAGACATTAAGCCAAGGAAGGGGCATGAAACAGATTCTCCCTTGTGGCCCTTAGAAAGAATCAACTCTATTGATACTTTGATTTTGGGCTTCTAGCCTCCAGAACTGTGAGGTAATACAGTTTTGTTGTTTAAGCTGGCCAGTTTGCAGTACTTGGTTATGGCAGCCCTAGCAAACTAATACACTTGCCTACACATCTGTTCCCCTAAATCCACTTCCACCTAATCCCTCCCAAATTAAGTCAGTTCTGGAGGACAGAAATACGGTTTTCTTTCCTTCTTTCTTTCTTTTTAATTATCCCTGATGCCTAGAAGGGCCAGGCACAGAGTTAGTTTTTGCTACAATTATTGATCACATTTTGCATTCTCTTTGGCCACAAGGGAGAGAAAAAAGGGACTAGAAGAGGAACTTGTTTTAGAAGAACAAGCTGGAGCTGTCTGGAAAGCAAAAGAAGACAAGTAGTGAGATCCATGTCCCTGAAGGTGTCCAAGAATATGCAGGCTGAAGGAAACCCTGCTTAGGGCTGGTTCTATGAGAATGTTGAGAAATAGTTTTGCTGGTTGTAATCTTCCAGAGATTGGTCTATTGATCAGTATTTTGGAATCCGGGTGAGTCAGAACCAGGCTAGGTGTCGCCCTTGTGTAGCTGTTGAAGATAGTGTGGGAGAGTGGGGTGTGTGTTTTAAGCAAGTGCTTGGTTCAAAGTGCCAATTTCTCTTCACCAGCTAAGTCTCGATCAGCCTTTGTCAGAGCTCAATCTGCCTGTGAATTTGCCTGGAATCCATTCCCAGCAGCACCATCTGTTTGCGATTGTCCTACCATCTGACCATTTACCCTTTGTCAACTTCCTCCTCCGGGCACTCCCACTGCCAGTTGGAATCCGCCCATGGATTCCACCCATTGTCCATCCTGGATAAACTGAGTCTGGAGAAAGACAGCACAGGAGAGAAGGGAAGAGGTGGGAGACGTTCCAATGTGCTAGCGTTCTTGGCCAAGAGGTGTCTGGGAAGCCCCATTAAGCCTTCACACAGAACCTGGAGAGAGAGCATGTGGCCCAGCCAGAGCCATATTGTGCCCCAGGCAGTCTGATGGCTCCACAAATAATATTGATGCCTTTTGTTTGAAAACTCTTTGTGGAGGTTTCCCATTCCCAACAAACCACGCTTGATGCTGGGCTTCCCGCAAGCCTCTTTGCCTTTTGCACAGTCCCGTGGCCAACTGTGCAGGCAGATGAGGGCCCCCGAATGCTAATGAGGGAAATGGCTGGCATTCCTAAGGCACGCCCGACTCTGGGAACCCCGCCTTTGTTGCTAAGGAACATTGGAACTGTAGCTGAAAGGCTCTTAGAAGAGAGAGGAGTGAAGAGAGGGAGAGAAGAAAGGAGAGCATTTGTTTTCAGAGCTTCACAGTTCTCTGGCCAGCTCCAAAGCTGTCCAATCTCTGATCCCAATTAGAATATCAAACCCCCTGTTATTGTTTCTCTTAATGATCTTGGGAAATTCCTCAGAAGAGTCAGCAAGCACTTAGCAAACTTTTTGGACTGCGCCATCTCTACAGTTGTGCTTCTGGTAGTGTGAACATACCATGCCAGAGTCCTGAAAACCATCTTTGTTCCAGTTCCCAGAAGGCAGTGATGAAGCTGGAGGATGGGAAGAGGGCAAAAAGCTGTTGGGTTTTCAAAATGTACCCGTGGGGGCTCCACTTAGCAGATGATTGCCAGGTGCCCACTCGGCAGTGCGTCTGAGCTCTGCGCTGGTCACAAAGACAGGAAGATCTTGTTCCTGGCTTGCAGTCACCTCCAGACTTGCTGGGAGGGACACACCACACATGCTAAAGAGAATTGTATGGTTTATTTGCTCTAACTGTGGCCAACAGCATTGAGGAACTTGGAGTTATGCAAGACTGGGTTCTAATCCTGGCTCAGTCACTCACAGCTATAAGTCCTTAGGCAAGTACATACACTACCCTGAGCCTCTGTTTCTCACCTGTACAATGGGCATGGTAATGCCAACCTCATTGGTTTACTTTGTGGAGTAAGTACAGGACAGAGAATGAGAGACAGGAATGTGGAACACATATTCTGTGCCCTCCAGGACCACACAGTCGGTGAACCATCTGTGGGCTTGGAAAATGTCTGTACCTGGAAAAGGCATTCAACCATTTGGCCCATTGGATGGGGTAAAATGAAATCCTGTATAAGACTAAAATAAGCTAGTTTCCCTTATGGAGCATGTCTATGTGCCAGGCATAGCACTGGGCAATTTGCATGCATTATCTCATTTAATATGAATGATGCTCTCAGGTAAGTAGGGACTTGTTCAGGGCCACACAGCTGGGAAAGAGTCTGCCCAGCTGATGAGAACCTGCCTCTGTCATTCTGTGCCCTTTCCATCCTTAAAGCCTGAGGTTTTTGGGGGAGTTGGGACATACTCAATTGACACCAAGCATCTCCAGAGCACACTGAAGGATAACCAGTCCACTATCCACAGACATCCATTTGGGAAGGTTTTTTTGGAGGACACTGGTCAAGACTGACACCAGACTTTCCCAACACAGTGGTTATTAGAAGTTCACAATGACACAGCTCTGAGAAAAAAGGGAGAAAAGTAACAGACTTTCTATAAGTAAACCATGAAGTTCCAGCATAGAGATCATAATGATATTCTGAACCATAATGACTTCCTGGCACTTCTTAGTAATTTCCATCCACCAACACCCCTCCCCAATGCTCCTTGTCTATCAATTCCCACTTTTTCTTGTTGAATTTAGAGTTGAGCCCAATATCTCTCCCCTACTGCAAAACTCCATTGCAGTGGTTCCTATGACTATTGTGATAGTTTTGAGTAAAACCTGCCTTACGATTTTAACAAGAGTCAGAATAATTTTTTCTTTAAGACAGACAGACAGACACACACACACACACACACACACACACACACACACACACACACACCCCTTGGGGAAAAGCAGTGGAGAATTCCAGGAGACGATGCAAAAGCAATTGATACTTGACTCTAGAAGGCAGATACATCTCAAAATTTGTTCTTACTGTAGTAGTGGCCTGACCTCCCTATGCCATTTCACATAGACCGTTGTTCAAAGTACTTTGGAAGCTTCTTGAATGTTCAGCAGCTAAGGGAAGGGACATAAAAGGGTATATCGTTATTACATGCAAAGAACTGTTCAAATGGCATTGCTTTCAATGTTTATAACAATCCTTCAAACAGATGTAATTGCTTCTGTTTTATAGATGAAGGAACTGAACTCCAGGGGGATTAAGCAACTTGTCAAGTCTACCACCCGCTAAGTGCAAGAGCCAGATTTTGGCTATTTTTGAAGCTATTTATTCTTTTTCTACTCTGTGTGGAAATATGGGGGGTAGGGTAGTAGGGTGACTGTGGATCTAGATCTGGTAAAGGTTACCCTACTTATAGAAGTATTCATTCAGCCAAGACTATAGTACAGGTTATGCTTAACCTGTGGTCACACAGCTCTGGTGGCACCTTTCATGCTGCATTCTATGTAAATGCAGCCCCCTGCATTTGTGTAGCTTGGGGATGCTGAGGCTACTTATCAGAAACTATGCTAGATATTGGATATTAAGAATTGGGCAAGGTAAAATCATTGCTCTTCAGGGCCTTATGATTTTGTCTAATAACCCCGACTTCAGGTTTAGGATCTTCTTTTACCCAAACTGCCTCTCCAACCCACTTACTCCCAGAGATGAAGGGTAAAGTGAGACCTTCTCAGTATCAGTTGACCAGTCCTTCACAGGAAGCACGAACCTTCTAGCAGATATTAACTGGCACAACCAAACAGCTTTCTTGTCCTCTGAGTCTGTTTCCTCATCTGTGAAACAGAGCTGTGAAACCTGTCTTATTGAATTGTCAGAGATAGACCAAACAAAGTATGTCAGGTTCCTCAAACACAATAGTTGCTCAAGGCATATTAAATTTTTGACCTACTATTCTAATTGTCCTTACTTGGCATTTTGTTAGAATGAGAAAGCCGTGTCTATTTGCTTGCTCTTTTGACCTAAAAGGCAGCCAGAAAGTCCAAGGGTTCTAGAAAGGGTGGTCAGTCGGTTTCAAGAGTCATTTTTCTGGACAACTCAAGGATTATAAAAACCAAAGCAGGTCAGACTAGAAGACCCTTAGAGACCATTTATTTCAGTGGATCCAAATAGTTTTGTTCTTAAGGCCTTGTCTATAAGAGTACATGAAGCACCTCATTTTATAAAATGGATAGAAAGGGATGCTCAGAGGCCTTTCTGTTTGATTTTCCCCTTGACCTAACTTGTTCATTTTGTCTGGCACACAGATTGGAAACTCAGTACCCTGATCACCCAGTATTAGTGATGGTGCTGGGAGCACATTGTCTCTGAAGCTCCAGGCCAGTGTTTCTTCAATGAGCTCATGCTACCTGTATGGTGTGATACGTGTGTAACTGTGTGCTATGTGAGTGGTGCAAAGTCAGGGGGGATGTTAAGAACAGAAGAACTATGGGAGCTGATGGAAAGTTCCACCTGGTTTTCCTGTCCAGGCAGAGCAAAGGATGTTACCTATTCCCAAAACGCTTTGTCCCAAGGAGTCCTTCCTCAAAACTTCTATCTTGGACTTTTGGAAAATACCCCTGGAGACAGTGTAATGTTGTTTAGTTTTGTACTGCAGAAAATATTGGACTTGTTCAGAAAACCTCACTTGAAATGTTTCTTCTACTGCTTAAGATTAAGATAGTGTATTGGTAATACTTTTATTTTTCTTATGGTATGGAAATCCTTCCTAGAATAATGACCAGGAGAAGGGATGATTTACCTATCCAAAAATGATGTTCATAGGTCTACTAGGTTCCAGGCACTGTGGGGAAGTGGCAACATTTAATGTTTTTTTTACTATGTGGAATTGTGGGGTTTGAAACAACATAGTTTGATTAGCAATGTAGGAAAAAATCAAACATGTAATATTAATAATAAGTTTTATTAAAACAGAAGGAGATTCTAAGTAGCTGGGTTCTTGCCACATCAAAAGATAAAACTAGGTTTCCTCTGATCACTTTGAACTGCTTATGAGTGAGCATCATAGCCAGAAACTAAGTCCAAATCAAAAGCATCTACAATAGCTGCATCGGCCTCCACTCTGACAATGCCTCCGCCACTACACTTAGGCTGGGGAGAAACATGTGTCTGGGTAAAAAGGGAGATAAGGGAAACATCTGTTCTCACAATATGGGCTTGTTATCATAGCTCCTTTAAGTACCGCAGTGCTGGCTCCAAGAGCATATTTTCTCCCGAACGGAATCTGCGCAAGGCCTGGTCGATTTTCTGAGGGCTCAGGGACAGGTTGTAAATGAGATTGTAGTTGTGAATGAGGCGTCTGGCTCGTTCCTTCTCCAGAACTCCTGTGATTGGATTGGGTAGGAGGAAGGTTTTTTAAAGAGGATGGAGGGAAAACAGAGAAAACTATATATTAGCTTGAATGACTTCCAGGTAAAGACTAAATGCTAATACTTTGCAATTTTAAGCTTCTTAAAAATCAAGTGGCATATTAAAAAATATTTATAGCTGTGGGTATGCATCACAGATTTCAGGAAGAATCTGAGGGTGATTTCAGGGGAAAGAGAACAAGATGGGATCCAATAAGATCCATAGATAAATTCTAAAGCAATTTAGGCTTTTCTTTGTAACTTTAAAACTTGTAAGGCCAATTTTTGAAACACTGGGGGTGCCTAGCAAAAGTAACTTCTAATTGTCCTGAGTTCTTTTTATCTTGTTAAAGTCTCCAAACACATTCCTAAACATGCAGGGATTAAACAGCTTATTTTCAAAATGCATTTCTCTAAATGTATTTATAGATGTTCTTTGGTATCTGCAGGGATTAGGTCCATAATATTCCCCTCCCCAACAGTGATACCTACACCCATGGATGCTCAAGCCCCGATATAAAATGGAGTAGTATTTGCATGTAACCTATACACATTCTCCCATGTACTTTAAACCATCTCTAGATTACTTGTAACACCTAATACAATGCAATTGCAATGCAAATAGTTGTTATACTGTGTTTTAAAATTTGTACTTTTTTTTGTTGTCGTGTCATTATATTTTATTTCTATTTTTTAAAATATTTTTGATATGCAGTTGGTTGAATCTGTAGTTGCGGAATACAAAGATGCAGAGGACTGACTGTCCTGTGACTCCCTCCAGCTTGCTGTGCAATCACAGGTGAAGCATCTAACTTCTCATAGCTCAGAGTTTGAATCTGCGTAATAGAGGTGGTAATGTGTATGACTGCAGGATATGCTCTGGTACCCACACATTATATATGCCAATACCAATGTCAGTATGCTTTCCATGTTAAGATTGGATAGATTTTGATGGCTGTTGGGAGGAGTCGCAGTGTAGACCACGGCATCACTGAAGATCAATAACTCACTCATAAGCCCCTAATTGCAAATATCTATGTGTCAGATACTGTGCTTGGGAATACAGAAGATTTAGAGAATTTTTCTGCTACCTCTGGAAGTTCTCTGTCCCGTGGGGGAGAGAAGTTATTCAGAAAATTAACTGGGATACAACAATAATAATTAAACAATATTTAAATATAAAATTTACTATGTTCCAGGAACTGCTCCAAGCATTTCACCAATATTAACTAATTGAATCCTTACAATAACCCATTTCACAGAGGGCAAAACTAAAGCCTAGAGACTGCAAGTCTCTTGATTGCCTAAGGTTAACCACTACAGTACGTTATGGAATGAGGGAAAAGAGATTGCTTCAAGTAGGGGTCTATTTATTTATTTATTTATTTATTTATTTATTTATTTATTTTTTATTTTGAGACAGGGTCTTACTCTGTTGCCTAGGCTGGAGTACAGAGGCACGATCATGGCTCACTGTAGCCTTGATCTCCTGGGCTCAAGGGATCCTCCCACCTAAGCCACATGAGTAGCTGGGATTGCAGGTATGTGCCACCACTCTCAGCTAATATTTTTATTTTTTGTAGTGATGAAGTTTCACTATGTGCCCAGACTGGTCTGGAACTCCTGAGCTCAAGCAACCCTCCCCCTAATGCCTTTCAAAGTGCTGGGATTATAGGCATGTGCCACTGTGCCTGGCCTCTTTTACTCTCCTTCATATGTGCGAACTGTAAGAGTGATGGTGAAATTCCTTCCTAAAGAATCCAGAGGCAGTGCCTTGTCATTTTGCGGAAAGCCACTACTAGTCCATTAGAGTTGGGCAATGGTAGATACTTATCATCTCAGTTTAAGATACCAAATATTACTCATTTTTAAATGTGCAAGTACTATTGTGCATGGTGCCACCTTCTCAACTACTCTCTAATCGCTATTTTTAACAGTAGGCCACAATAGGTGGGGTCCTAATTTATTCTGTTCTATTCCAGTGTGTTCATTTTCTATTCTGTTCTGGTTTGTTCATTGCCTATTTATTGTCTGTCTCTCTTATTAGAACAGTGGTCCTTTCATTTATGTAAACCTCATTCTTTGAGTTGGCCAATTGCATCTTCGAAGTTTTCTGGATAGGATGGCTGCTCTCAGTCCTGTCTAGCTTTGCTTCCTCTGGCCATTTCTCCACACCCTGCCTCTGGAAATATAAGACATGGATTTGGAATAAGTTTATGACTGTAAGAAAAAAAATGAGTGAGGTGTGGTGGCATGCACCAGCTAAGGTGGGAGGATCATTTGAGCCTGGGAGGTCGAGGCTGCAGTGAGTTGTGATCATGCCATTGCATTCTAGCCCAGGCAACGGAGTGAGGCCCCTGTCTTAAATAAATAAATAAATACATAAATACATAAATACATAAATAAATGTCAAAAGAGGAAAGAAAGAGGGAAAGAAGGAAAAGAAAACAGAGGTAATTAAATTGTGTGAAAATCAATAAAATATTAAGTTCACACAGTATCCAGTACTAGTAATCACTCAATAATGTGAAATTTTACTATAGGATAATTATAATAATTATGTCATCAACATTATTTTAAAAATATATAAACAGTATATATGTAATTGCTTATTAAAATAGATAGCATTTAGTTTATATTTTAATTAAAAATTAAAAGTTATGTTAAAAAATACATCTAGGAATCACAGTAGTATTTTCTATCTTCTAAGCTTTACCATTGATAGAAGATGCCTAGAGTCAAACAAAAAGTCCACTGAATGAAATTTGTATCTGTCTAATTTACTCTGTCATTAGGGGATGCCCAGAACAGCTGCATAAAATAGCCCTTACAATCCATCTTAGTGTTGGAAAGCCTGTCTTTTCTAACCAGAACCAAAATAAAAAAATAATAAGAATCCTTTTTTTTTTTTTTTTTTTGAGATGGAGTTTTGCTCTTGTTGCCCAGGCTGGAGTGCAGTGGCATGATCCCGGTTCACTGCAACCTCCACTTCCTGGGTTCAAGTGATTTTCCTGCCTCAGCCTCCCAAGTAGCTGGGACTACAGGTGCCTGCCACCACAGCCGGCTCATTTTTGTATTTTTAGTAGAAACGGGGTTTCACCATGTTGGCCAGGCTGGTCTCGAACTCCTGACCTCAGGTGATCCACCTGCCTTGGCCTCCCAAAGTGCTGGGATTACAGGCGTGAGCCACTGCACCCCACCATAAGAACATTTTCAACATCAACTTCATTGTACAGTATATAAAGAACTTTCAATCTTTTATCTCATTTGATCCGTTCTCAAATCTGGGAAGTATGTTTTATTATTATCAGTTTTACTTTGTAGATGAGGAAACAGGTGAAGAGAATGTAAGTGACTGGCTTTTACGGATCAACAATGGGTGGAGTCTGGATTTGAATCTAAATCTTCTGATTAAAAAAAAAAATCAAGCAAAATCGTGTGCTCTTTCTAGTATGTCATGGGACTGGGTGTAGTGGGGATTCATGGAGAGCTGGGCTTGAATTATGGCTCACCATCCTACTGGCTATTATTTTATCACTTTGAGCTTGGCTTTCTTCTCTGTAAATAAGGATACTAATCCCTTCAGCATGTTGTTGATGTGAGAATTTAGTGATGTAGTATATGTAAAGTCCGGGCTCATGCAGAGGAATTTCTTTCAGGCTCTCATTGCATTCTCCCTCCTTGAACTCTAAAACACTTTCTATTTAGCTTTCACTTCACTGGGAAAATTCCAAATGCAACATTCACCCAGACATTTATCTTAACCACTGTTTTTTTTTCTTTAGAAAACATGACTAGTTATTCATAATCATTCCTTATCCCTTCTCCTCAAGGCTATTTTGTTGACAACCCCCATTAGAGAATAAGCACAGTAGGTTCCCAGAAGCACTGATGTGATGATGGATGGCCTGTCCTCATCCTGGATGGAGAACATGCTGGCCTACATATTTCTTTGCACATAATAAAGAATAGTGATTCATCCATGGGCAAAGCAGATATCATCTGCTCAGCATCTAGAATGGGGCTATGGTGGTCTGCTAAGTACTGTGGGTTAATAAACCACCAAAGTGACCTCAGTTAATCCTCTTTCCTCATTAAAGACAGTTGTAGATTTTCCCAGATCTGGCTGACACATTCCTTGGCTGTTGAGGAACTAATGAATTTCATGGAAACAGAGAAAACAGGCATAAATAGTGAAGAGGCCATGAGAAAGGCATTTCAAATCTGTCGGAATCTGCCTCCAAAGTCAACAAACTCCGTTTCTCCTCAGAACGGTTCAGAAGCATGAGAAATCTCCCAGTCTTTGGAGAGTGTCTTAGCAACTAAGTTTATGATCCATTATCCATCACAAGTAAGCATTTGTTTCTTTAGCAATGTCATTTTTTTAAAAAATGTTTTGTTATTGCTTGTAACCTCATCACCACTCTCATAGCCCTGTTGTGAATACCCAGACTCAGGGTTATTTCAATAATCTTTTCATCTCCTTCTCTCCAGTACCTTCCCTAAGTCATCCATCTCAGCTTTCATTATGCCTTCCTCCGCATGTACATTTGGATACTGGGTAAAGAATGAAGCCTCATCCTATCCCTTAGGGTTCATAATAGGTTCTCAACTTTACTGTATGTCCAACATCCACCTCCAGCAGTCCTGTCTTGGTACTCGCTTCTCCATCATACTCATTCTCACCTTCTAACTTTTGCAGGAGATGACTTCAAACTCGGGATGACCTGTCCAACTGTCCAAATTCTACCTGAAGTCTCAGCTCAAGTTCTCTCTTTCTTGGAGTCCTCTCTTGGTCCCGGACCTCGCATTAGATGGTCAGCCTCATTTCATACCTTCACTTTCCTTTTGACTCTTGAACTCTTATTTGTGCCTTCATTTGTCTCAAACTCTTGGGCTCAAGTGATCTTCCCACCTCAGCCTCCCAAAGTGCTGGGATTACAGGCATGAGCCACCATGCCCAGCCATGTAACTTCATTTGTAATACTTAATGCTGTGTTTTAATTTTGTTTGTTTACTGGCACTGAACTATTGTTAGTCTCTGTGTCTTACCTAAAGGTAAGCTCCTTGAGGCCAGAGACTATGTCTCATCCTTTCTGGTTTTCCTCTTGGTTCAGCCTCTAACACAGTTCTAGGCTCATAACGTATTTTTAATAAATAACTTTATAATTCAACCAGATGAATCTTTCAATTAAAATTTTCAGGTTTTTTTTTCTCTTTGGTATAATTATTAAGAGTCCCTGGATTTTGTATGGCAATTATACTTCCTCGTGGTCTAGAATTAAGTTGCTTTGGAAATTCAAAGCAAAACAAAAACACACAAAGAGAATGAAAAGACAGACATTGCTATTGTCATATGATTACTTCTAGATGGTACTAATGTGTACACCAACTCTTCATGAACCACAGTATGTAAATAAATAAGACATTTTGGGACCATGTGCTTTTCTATCTGCTCCCTCTTTTCCCAGCACTCTGATGTGGTTCTAGACTTCATTCTCTCTCTCCTTTCCACTTTCCCTTATTTCACTTTCTCCTTCATTCTGCACATAGTCATCAAGGATCCTTCTGAAGTACAACTTCATTACACCACTCCTCTACTTAGAAACTCTCCGTGCTCTCATTATCTTTGAATTGACTCCAAATTCCTTGGTCTGGCATTTAAAATCTTTCAATATCTGGCCCCATTCTTTATTTCCATCTTTATCATTTAATATTCTTTTTAATAGCCCCTATATTGAGCACCCTGCACTGAGCTTCACACACAGCATTTGCACCTTTGCCAGAAAAGGCTACTTCATTCCTTTGTGACCAAACTGCATTTTAAGTTTAATGATCAATTTAACATTAACAAAGCCTTCCATGATGACCCCACCAGGAAGAAATTCACTTTTCTCTGAATGCCCACAGAGCATACTCTAACAACATTTATCACCATCTATCTTGGATTTGGTTATTTACGCACACTGGCTCATGTATTTCTTTCCTCAAAACAAAACTGTGCAAGGTGCCAGGGATAAACAAGGAAGATAGTCTACTGGTGAGATAGTAATAAGCCCCCAAATAAAAATATACAATATGTTGCATATGATGATGGATGTTAAAGAATCCTAAGAAGCCATAGGAAAGTTGGCCTAGATCTGTCTGGGAGTCTCAGGGGAATTGTGTTTGAATTCAAACATAAAAGATGTTTAGGTATTGATTAGCCAGGGGACAAGATGGGGAGTTCGTGGGGGTTGGGGTAAGTAGAGAGGAAACAAAGAGCCCAGATGAAAGGCTGGGAGTTAGAAATGGCACAGGCGTGTGCGAGACAAGGCCTGCTTGAGGCAAGGCAAGTTATTCATTATTACTGGGCAGGACGTGCTGAGAGAATATCAATAGTAGGAGAAGAGATTGGCCAGGTGGATAGGGACCAGATTTTGCCTTGCTAAGGAGTTTGGAGTTCATCCTCTTATCAGTGGGGTATCTCTGAGGTATTTTAATCAGAGGAATTATAAAATTGGATTGTGGGTTTACTTTTTGGCAGTAGGGTGCAGGAAGTATTGGGAATACAGAGAAATTATAAGCAATCTGGTATGGGATTCCTGTCTGATTCGTCTTCATATTTCTGGATTGTGCTCAGCACATTGCAGGGCACATGATTTATATATTAATTGTATCATTTGTTCAAGAGGCAAAAGAAAATGAGGTGCCTACTTTTAGACTAGACCACAAATAGAAACCTATGCCAGCTTTACAATTCATACTTCACCTGTGTTACTCAGATCACACAGGTAGAGGGCATTTTCCAGCTTCCTGAACCTGTCTATCCACGTCTCACATTCCTCAGCCTTGTTCTTCACAGCTGGATTCACGAAGGGCTGGGAGACTGGCCTGATCTTTAAAGGTTTCAGAGGATCTTTGCAGGCTGAAGTTTCAGCAGGAGAGCTTTCTGGCTGCAGCTCCTCTTCTGGAGTTTTCTACCAAAACAACAAAAGCATTGGCAACACATTCACCACCCAGAGCTTCTCCAATCTCTTGGCCAAAGATGAGGCCACACAACTAGCAAGATTTATAGCAAGGTTTGAGTTTGGAAAGCTAAGAGGATGAGCTTCAAATCTTCAGTGCCATAAGATCATATCTGCCAAATCTTGCTGGATACAAACATGTGAAGTGTGTGTGTCTAAAGAGAAGGGTGACATCATGATTTTTATTCAGTTTTCATTTTTGACTTGCATGAAGCAAAGAACTTTGTAACTGACTGAGGCTTTTCATGATGTTCTACTCTGTTTTGTACTAGTGGGGTCTGCAGGGGGTAGACTTCAGACAATGCTCATACTTCTTGAAAGAAATACTTCTGGGTCATGAGTGTGAGGTTTTTGACAAAAGATGATCGAAACAATAATGATGTTATCTTAGGCTTGTGGGTCCATTTCAAAGGATGTTAAAGCACTCTTAGTCTGCCAGTCCTGTTCATTTAGCAAAGGAGGCTGGGGCCCAGAAAGTACAAGTGGTTTACTAAGATCACACACATCTTAGAGTAGACCTAAGACTAGAAGCAGGGCATAAAGGCTAGCTCATCTTAGTATCCTAAATTCATTGCCAGTATAAAATAGAGGTGTTTTAGAATTAAATAGACACATCAGTCCCAGCAGTGCCATATAAGGCATTCTGATCTTTACCATGTGCAGTGAGTGGGCATCTATTATTTGATCTGCCCAGCCCACCTTTTGCAGAAATTGCCCTTCCTGCTGACCCACACAGCTGTGGAAAGAACTGCCATGTTCTATCTGCATAGTTTAGGACTGGGCATCTAATACAAAATGAACCAAAAACCCATTGTCCAGGAATTTTGGTACTATTTGTGAGAGAAAAATGGAGGTGATTATGTGTGAGATATTGGAACTCTAGCAGGTTTTCCATTTTGTGTACTGCAAATGAGAAAAAGCTGGTCTACTGAGAAAGAGAGAGAATATGAAGCTGACAACGAGAGAAGAAAAAAGATATAGGAAGTCTTGATGGTGTTAGAGTCTCTGGTTTTAGTTCATTGTTGCATTTCTGTCCTTTGAGAGTATAATATGCTTCTCTATTCTTCCAATAAATTAAGCTAGTAGAGTTGGTTTTGTTCATTGAAATCTAAATATTCCTAATTAATTCACCATAAAATTATGCCTCTAACTTTTGTATACCATCTGTGTTCCCCCAACTTTCAAATGTCTGAATTTTTCCAATTTTGTACCTTTGTCTCAAACTTCTCGTATATAAGCTGTGAGAATCCCAGAGCCCTAAAGAATTGTAAGTGCAATAAGAAGCCAAATTCTGAGTTGGTTAACAAACATGGATTAAGTTGCTGCTGGGGAATGTAAAGAATTCTTTTGTTTGAGATCATGGAATGCTATATGAAATTGTACCCACATGGATGACAAACAACCAGTACGTCTTAACGGATTCCTATAAAAAGAATTCTACTTTGATAAAATCAATTTTGTGAAAAGCAGAAAGTTTTCATATAGTAAATTAGAATAGTGATTCTTATACTTTTTTTAGAGCATTGGACTACTTTAGAAATCAGATGAAAGCTTTAGAAAATCTGACCAGATTAATGCACATTTGCATACATTTTGATGGATAATTTTAGAGAGATCACAGGTGCCCTTGGATCTGAGAAATTACTTTTAAGTAGTTTTATATTTCTTTAGATAGTTCAACACTCTCTCTTTGACCACTGAAGACAAGGAAAAGGGGAGATTTGTAGGGACCTGAATCAGACTTAAGCAAGTAACTAACAATGTAACTAATACATCCTTCACTGTTTTGGTCCCACTGTATCTGGATGAAGTTCACATTCCTTGGGTGGCACACAAAACCATTTATATTCTAGTTATTGCTTATCTACCCAGCTAATCTTCTTTTAGTCCTATATACATATCTTCTTCTTTGGCCACAAAAACCTGAAAAATGGAAGCTGTTTTATACCTTTTTGCCTTTATAATGTTGTTACTTCTGTTTTAAAAACCCTTCTTGCCATATATGCCTTGATTGTTTGGGTTCTTACTCATTCTTCAAGACTTGGCTAATTGTTTATTTCCTGTGGGACGCCTTCCCCAACAGCGCCAGGCTGGGCAAGAGGTGATTCTTTGTAGCTCCCCATCACAGCACTCCTACTGGATGTTGTCTATGTCTGTTTCAAATATTACCTCTACCAGAGATCCAGAGGTTGAGCCTGTGAGATAGTTTTTAATGTATCCTTGAGGTCTGGCTAGTGGCTGGCACACAGTAGGTTGTCAAGACATGTTTAATGAATGAATAAGTGAATGAATGAATGATTTTCTCAGGGACAATAGGAAACTTGCTTTACCAGACCCCTGCTTCAATTTGCCTTTCTAAAAAGTGGGACAATCAATTCCGTTTGTACAGGAATGTGAGAAGAATCAATTATCGCAGAGATGCAATAAATTCTTTAAACAAGAAGCAAAATAAAAGAGCAAAGTATATTTTTTATAATCTTATTCACAACAGACTTAACACTCAAGGAGAAAAGCATTTGCTGTTGTTTCTTGCATGGCAAGAGGCTTGCCAAAATGGGTACTATTTTCTAAAATATTTCAACGTGTGAAGTGCATGAGGAGGCCTCCCGTCATTTTAAGATGAATTATGTTCTAATCCGGGCATTTAAAAAACAACAACAGAAAAACTCAGGCTGTTTTTAAATTCTGTCTACAACTTCTCCTGGCTAAATGCTGGGAATATTAAAATGGGTTTTAACTGCTTGCCAGATTTTTTTCTTTCTTTCTTCTTTTTAATCAGAGAGGCTATTACATTTTAAAATGTGGTGTCTGGGGAAAAGGTCACCCTCAGTTTCTGGAAGTTGGAATTAAGATGTTAAAATAGATCTCATAATCACTCTTTATTTTGATGGCAGTTTGTGAATCGGTCACAAGCTTTGGAAGGACACCCAGACGTATGCTACAAGTCCAATTTCTTGGGGCAGGTGGCAAGCCCATCACCACGTGATGGCAATAGGTTTCTGCAAACCAGCAAGGACAGAAACTAACCCACACTTAAGTAGTTCTTTTGCCTCCTTCTTTGCCCAAGGAGAGTCTTGAAGTCAAAGACAGTCTGACATCAAGGGTTTGGGAGAAAATCAAAACCCACAGGAGAGAGCCCCATCCAGCATCAGAGAAAAGGCCAAGTATCCATGAAAACCTTCCCCCAAACTCTATATACCCCAGGTGCATACCATATGTTCAGTTTTGCTTTGAGACATCTCGGGGACTTCAGGCTCCATTGGAGGGGCAGGGGCTTTCTTTTCATTCTTCCCTGAACAAGAATAAAAAAAAAAAAAGGAAGGGTTTAGCTTGGTCTCTTCATTTAACACACACATATACACAAGGCAACAACAACAGCAACAACAAAAAAATGGAGGCTTTGCTCTGTGGTTGGCACTGTGTTAGGTAATGGGAACACTCTGATGAGTGAGAAAAACCTGATTCCCACCCTGGTGGACCTCAGATTTGGAAGTAGATGTTAAACAATGACTCTAAATTTTTATTTAGTTACAACTTACTATAAATAAAACTAAAGAAAAATATGAGAAAATAGGAAAGTATTTAAACTTCTTTGGAGGCCGGGGTAACAGTGGTGGGGGTTTCGGAGGAAGTGACACAAATTCGCAACCTGAAGGATTGGTTTTAGTTGTGTTTGTAGCACTTATCACTACTGAAGAGGAGTTATCCAGGCAAAGATGATGATGGTGATGCACACAGAGCAGAGAGTTCCAGAAAAGCAGAGACAACAACCTGTAGCAAGGCCCTAAGAAAGGCTTTTGTAACTTAGGGAGTTGAAGGGACGTCTTCCTGTGGTCCTGCCTCTTAAGAACCTCTGCCCCTCCTTTTACACACACATGCACCCAAAGGACCAGGCACAACCTTTCTCATCTTCCTTCCTTGCTTCTTTCAATGGTCGGTGGTACTGGACGGGAAGAGGTTGAACAGCCTCATCCCTAATCCAGTGGATTCTGTTTTCCAGGTACTACTTGCAGCAGGCTGCTGCCTTCATGAACAGAAGAGATTTCCACAGGATGCAGGAAAAACACAAACAAATATTAAGACCTGTGGAAATCCTCTGAGCCTTATTGTAGGTATCCTTCATTGATCACTCAGTACCTTCCATCTGACTTGGTGACTTATTTATTTTGCAAGTCTGCGGATGACTGTACAGCACAGGTTTCTGGGAGCCTCAGCTTTATTAATCAGTGCATAATTCAGATATGCCATTAACAAATGTATATTATTTCTAAATTGAGTCTCACTATTTTTAATAAAAATGATTTAATCAATACATTTTAAACAAAGGAGGCAGTGTACCATAGTGGTTGAGAGTATAATCTCTGGAGCTAGATGCCTTGGCATTGATTCCTGGCTTTGTTCCTTGCTAGCTGCATGACCTTGAGCAAGTTACTTGTCCTCTCTGTGCCTCAGTTTCCTCTTCTGTATAAAGGGGATAATGACACCTATAGGCTATTGTAAGGATTAAATGGACTAGAAAGTGTAAAGCAATTTTTTCATGTGTTTTTTGGCTGCATAAATGTCTTCTTTTGAGAAGTGTCTGTTCATGTCCTTCACCCACTTTTTGATGGGGTTGTTTGTTTTTTTCTTGTAAATTTGTTTGAGTTCATTGTAGATTCTGGATATTAACCCTTTGTCAGAGGAGTAGGTTGCGAAAATTTTCTCCCATTTTGTAGGTTGCCTGTTCACTCTGATGGTAGTTTCTTTTGCTGTGCAGAAGCTCTTTAGTTTAATTAGATCCCATTTGTCAATTTTGTCTTTTGTTGCCATTGCTTTTGGTGTTTTAGACATGAAGTCCTTGCCCGTGCCTATGTCCTGAATGGTAATGCCTAGCCATCAGAGAAATGCAAATCAAAACCACAATGAGATACCATCTCACACCAGTTAGAATGGCAATCATTAAAAAGTCAGGAAACAACAGGTGCTGGAGAGGATGTGGAGAAATAGGAACACTTTTACACTGTTGGTGGGACTGTAAACTAGTTCAACCATTGTGGAAGTCAGTGTGGCGATTCCTCAGGGATCTAGAACTGGAAATACCATTTGACCCAGCCATCCCATTACTGGGTATATACCCGAAGGACTATGAATCATGCTGCTATAAAGACACATGCACACGTATGTTTATTGTGGCATTATTCACAATAGCAAAGACTTGGAACCAACCCAAATGTCCAACAATGATAGACTGGATTAAGAAAATGTGGCACATATACACCATGGAATACTATGCAGCCATAAAAAATGATGAGTTCATGTCCTTTGTAGGGACATGGATGAAATTGGAAATCATCATTCTCAGTAAACTATCACAAGAACAAAAAACCAAACACCGCATATTCTCACTCATAGGTGGGAATTGAACAATGAGATCACATGGACACAGGAAGGGGAATATCACACTCTGGGGACTTTTGTGGGGTGGGGGGAGGGGGGAGGGATAGCATCAGGAGATATACCTAATGATAGATAACGAGTTAGTGGGTGCAGCGCACCAGCATGGCTCATGTATACATATGTAACTAACCTGCACAATGTGCACATGTACCCTAAAACTTAAAAGTATAATTTAAAAAAATCACAAAAAAAAAGAAAGTGTAAAGCAAATACCTGAAACACAGCGACTGTTCAGTGAATGTTAACTAATAGTGTTATCTAGGTAAGGATATTTTTACAAATAAATTCACATATCAATTTAAAAGCCATTTGTTATATGGAATTTTAGCATCAAACTTACAAATCATTGTGAAAGTTCTCCCTCAGTTTCTTGATGAAGAAGACATGTGATTTCATAACCTTCTTTGAAGCCCCAGCACCCCTCATTAGAATTAAATACTCAATGAATACATGTTAAATAAATGACCATGTGTTCTAATACGTAGTTTGAAAAATAAAGTCACTAGACATTTAGTGCCATTTTTCCAAATTCTTTTCCAATCCTGGGAGAGGAGTAATTTTTCTCTGTGTTTCTTTATCCTCTCATATCTACCCCAGATGCTATATAGAGCAAACCTTAATAGTGGCTAAATGAAGAGTATGATGGCATCCAGTTAGGGCGGCCTTTTGAGGCAGATCTTATTTGATCTGTTGAACGTTTAAGTTGTCACGAGAACCCATCCTCAACTAGTAGCATTGGCTACTGCTTATTTCAACCAATATGTGAAAGAAAAGCTTTCTGTTTATTATAAGAGGTTCAAAATACTCTGAATCATACAGCTCTCCTGTTAAAGGGATTCTTGAAGCAGTACGTGGGGAAAGGGGAGGAGGATGAACAGACAGACCTAACATCTAACCCTGATTCTTCTCTTTACCAGCTTCAAGCTTTTGGATCTTAATTCTTTCATTTGTGAAATTACAGAAATTTGCAATAATACTGTGGGGATTAAAGAAAAAAACCTACGTAAAATACCTAACACAGGGAAGATGCTCAATTCAAGGTATTATTATCTGTTGTTGTGTTATTATTATTATGTGCCCTTAAGCAAATCGAGCTTCCCCAGAGAAGAGAAACTAACATTAATTATGATGTCCCAGACATTTTTTGGGACACTGTTTAATGCATTATCCTTTTAAAAATAAGATCTAGAACATAAACTTTGTCCTAGCCCCATTCCTCTCTACCGTCTGCACTTCTAAAACTTCCATTAGGAAAAAATACATACTAGTCTACTTGGTCTCTTTTAAGCTTCCCTTTCTCCTTCCTAATACCTAACAGCATATAAAAAGGTAATGGCTTGCACATGTAAAAATTGTTTGAAAAACCTGAGGCAGAGCTATTTTTTTTTCTTTCTAACACAGCAAGAAGGATAAATAATAACCATCTGTCTAGTCTGCCAGTTGAAGATTTGTACCAGAGGAAATAAGCCAAGCTGGCTTCTAGAGATTTCCAGGTGTTGGAGGGCCAGGTTTTACAGGGTTTCCAGTGGGTTCTGATAGTTACGTAGCCAGCGCTCCTGTCTGCCCTCACTAATGACTTGAAATCAGTAGCCTTTAGCACTGGCTGCATGTTAGACCCACCTGGGCAGCTTTAAAAATTACCAGTGCTCAGGCATCACACCAGACCAATTAAGTCAGAATCTCAGGAGGTGAGAACCCAACTCAGTACTTTTTAAAAAATTCCCTAGGTGATTCTAAAGTAAAACCAGGATAGAGAACAACTGACTTTAATAAAAGCTTCTGGCTTCAGTGGGCCTACTGAATGAAGCTTTTGTGAGAAGGAAACTCATATATGTCAAATATCTAGAAATGACAGACATTTCCACATCATCTAAAGAATTATCCCTGTGAGGTAGAAATCATCCCCATTTGACAGATGAGGAAACTGAGGCAATGAATGTTTTAGTTTCCTTTTTAAGACAACAGAGGCAGGGTTACGTCTGTGGCTTGAACTAATTCATTCATGTAACAAACATTTAAGTGCTTACTATATGCTGGGCACTATAGGACAGAATCTTTGCTTCATGGAGTGTGCATTCTGATGGAGAGAACAAAGAGATGCATCAAAGAATGTCAGGTAGTGATAAGTGCTATAAACACAGCTAAAACCAATGATTAGGGGATGGAAAGTAATGATAGCTGCCATTTTAGATAGATAATTCATCAATGACCTCTTTAAAGAAGTGACATTTAAATAAAACCCTGAATGGAGGAGAAACAAGAGAGCAAGCTGTGAAAATATATGGATAAAGAGCATTGGAGGAAAATGTTACAGCAAAGGCTAAGGCCATGAGGCAGGAGTGATTGGTGCATCAAGCAATAACTGAGAGCAGAGCCTGGGTGAGGCAGAATGAAAAGGGAAGAGAAATGGGTGAAGTGTTCACAGGGCTAAAAGGCCCCATGGGCCACACCATGTGACTGAAGCTGATTCGTGTGTGTGTGTGTGTGTGTGCTTCTCAGCATTCTTTTTTTTTTTTTTTTTCCTCTGGTGATTCTCTCCTTCATTATCCCCTTCTGAAGACAGCAACTATGTTTTGCTTTGTGGTGACTACTCCTACCCCATCCCAGTGCACTATGGTTTGGTTGGACTGACTCTCCAGTTCCAAGTCCAAACTTGATCTCTGATTAGTTTAAGCCTATCATGGTATCCCAATCACAGTCTTGGTTCAATGATGGCCATAAAACTCAATCTGAGCTTCTATATGAGAAGAAATACTTGCTACAGTTTCTTAGATAGTAAAGTTCTCTCCTTCTTAGGAGAACACCTATCCAAAGAGTGAGCTGTGAGGATGTGATGGCCATAGCTACCATAGCTATTTTGCTATTGTAGAATGTCCAAGTAGTTGAGGGACTACCATATAGAGCCTGAAGATGATGCCAACAGGAGGTAAGGCATATCAGAGAGCCAGAAAGAAGGCAGATCCTTGATTTTGATATCTGAATGGCTAGATCAAACCATTCCTGCAGCCCTTGCTGCTGCCAGAATTTTCAGCTAAATAAACCAAAATCTCTATATTGTCTAAACCAATTGAGTTTGCTTTTCTTTCCCTTCAACAGAAGTAGTTCTAATTAGTAACTAGTATGAGTATTTTTTTCCTTAGTAAAAGGGAGGCCAAGCCTTCACCATTTTTCTGTTTTCTTGAGTGATAGGTCTTCAAGAAATGTTTGAGGGGTGTCAATGAGCCTCTTACGCTACTCCTCATTTCCTTTGAATTTTCCCTTGTCAGCAGTCATACTGGAACTCTGCTCTTTGCTTTCTGCATCCTCTTCTTCTTCTCTCTTGTTCACAGGCTCCACAGTGAAGAGATTCAAATTTGAGATCATACTTCATTTTTGTGAAATACTATTTTAGACTTTAGACCTTACCATGTTTAGAGGGGCCTAAGCTCTTTTTATATGTGTCTTAATGGGAGTTCATCATATTTCTTAGATCTGTGGCTTAAGGTCTTTTACTACTTTCGGAAGCTTCTCAGTCATAATTGCTTCAACTTCATCTTTATTCTCTTTCTCCTATTTTTCTTTGACTTCAGTTACATGTACGTTAGATGTTGTCACCATTTCCTATGTGTCTCTTGCATACTTTTTTTTTTCTGACAGGGTCTCACTCTTTTGCACAAGCTGGAGTGTAGTGGCATAACCAGAGCTCACTGCAGCCTCGATCTCATGGGCACAAGTGATCTTTCCACCTCTGCCTCCCAAGTAGCTGGGACTACAGGCATGCACCTCTATGCCTGGCTAATTTCTTTATTATTTGTAGAGACAGGGTTTCACCTTGTTGCCCAGGCTGGTCTCAAACTCCAGGGCTCAAGTGATCCTCCCACTTAGGCCTCTCAAAGTGTTAGGACTATGGGTGTGAGCCACAGCACCCAGACTCTTACATACTTTTAAATGTGTTACATCCTAATTTTTCATCCATGCTTCAATCTGGATATTTTCTATTGAACTATATCACAGTTCACTGGTCCTCTCATCAGCAATGTCTAATCTGTTAAACCCATCTACTGAGCTTTTAAATTTTAATTTTTATAAATTTAAGTGTAGATATTCCATTTGATTCCTTTTATAGATTCAAATTCTTTGCTGAAAATTCCCCATCTTGTCATTCATTTTCTTGAACATATTAATTACAGTTATTTCAAAATCTATGTCCTGCTTTACATCATCCATGGCAATTTTTAATTGAAGCTGGACATATTGTATGAAAAACTTAAGAGATTTTGTATGATACCTCCTTTCACAGAGAGCTTTTCTCCCCCTTCTGTCTGGTAGTTCAGTTTGAATTCCAAGTAAGAGTCTTCGAACAAATATTCTTTTGGATTTTATCTAATCTTCTAGTTATTCTTGCCAGGAGGTTTGGCTTGCTGGAAAGTAGACTCTCCTTGTCATTAGTGTAAGTCACAGATATTAAGTATTTATGTGAAAATTATATGTACATTGAAAAACAAGTTCCCAGGATTTTTATGATTCTTAATGATATAAATTTTCTAATAAAGGCAGTATATATAAAATGAGTTATTTTAATTAGGTTAGTATGGCATCTTTGAGTGCAGAGAGGTCCTAGGAAAGAGAAAATTCACAGTTCTACACACCCATAAGGAGTATCTTTTTTAAGTTTCTGTATAATGCCCCTCCTTCACTTTGATAACATTTACCTGTGGAGCTAAAGAATAGACAGAAAAAAATGGCTCACTCAGTGCTTAAGAGCATTTAGTCATCATAGATCCAGCAGTACAGAAACAAGAAGAGACCAAGACATTGACTAAGTAAATAAGCAGTGAGCTATCACAACAACAATGCAACAGCAACACTACCCCAACTCTGTAGTTCTGGAGAGTGACACGTTGCCTATAAAAATTAGTGATGTGTTGCCTATTTTGTTTGTCAGACTCACAATCACCCTATAAGATCAATAGGGCAGGTTTGCATTTTTCTTTTATATTTTGCCCATTTTAGATATGAGAAAAATGAGTCAGAGAGAAATAAAATAAGTGTCCCAATATAAGTTAGTTATTTAGTTGTGTGAGACTTCAATTTATCTTTTTACATATTTTTCTGCTATTCCATATGCTATGGTCTTAATTGTGTATCCCCCACCCCAAATTTATATGTTGAATCCCTAATCTCAAAATCTGACTGTATTTGGAGGTAGGGCCTTTAAAGAGGTGATTAAGTAAAAATGAAGCTGTTAGGGTGGGCTGTAATCCAATCTGACTGGTGTCCTTACAAGAAGAGGAAATTTAGACCTATAGAGACACCAGGGATGCACACACACAGAGGAAAGCCATGTGAGGACACATCAAGTATCCACCTAGCATCAGAAGAGCTACTGCTATAATGTTTTTCAGCATTCTCAGCCCTAGCCACGTGTGAAACCTCAGGTCAGATGAACAGCCACGTGACATCACTTCAATGGTCTCCTCATTGAAAATATGATGCTTTGTAAGAGATCCAAGTGCAGCCACCTTCTTAGAGCCTTAAATTATGTCGCAGTCCAAGAATCAGCTGTATGGAATCCCCTCTGAAATCCTTCCTCCAGCTGCTTGGCATTTCCGTGGAGACCCTAGAACCATCTGTGTGGTGACACTAGCTACTAGATTCTGATAGTAATACCCCTTCCTCTATGTTCCCTTAGCCTTAAGGTGGTAGCTGCTTTCTACAGTTACTAATGTCTGGATTACCTCCCTGTAGTGGATTGAATTGTGTCCTCCTCAAAAATATGTTCAAGTCCTAATCACTGGTACCTGTGAATCTGAGCTTATTTGGAAACAAGATCTTTTCAGATGTAATCAAGTTAAGATGAAGTCATTCTAGATTAGGGCAGGCCCTACTTGGAATGACTGTTGTCTTTATAAGATAAAGAAGAGGAACACTTGGATACTGAGATATATAGAAGACAGAAAGAAGAAGGCCTTGTGAAAACAAAGGCAGAGATTGGAGTTACACAATAACAAGCCAAAGGAGGCCTGTGGCTGCTAGAAGCTGAAACCGGCAAGAAAGAACTCTTCTCTAGAGTGTTCAGGGAGAGTCTGGCCATGCGTACACCTTGATTTTATATTTCCAGCCTCCAGAACTGAGAGAATAAACTTCTATTGTTTTAAGCCACCAAGATTGTGGTATTTTGTATGGCAGCCCTGGGAAATGAATATACTCACCATATTCTTTTTTATCCCTCAGCTTTGGATACTTACATAACCAATCCCCTGTAGTAAATTCCCTCTGCTTGAAATACCTAGTAAAGTTTCTTAGGTTTTTCCACTTGGATACAGACTGATATATTTAATCCCGGACACACACACACGCACACACACATGCGTGCACATTCAGTACTTTAATTTTGATCCAAAGGGCAATCAGTAAATGGTTGATGGATATAGTAAATAGAAAAACTACAACAGCAGATTAATATCAATGCATATTTTTTCACCTGTCATATTTAAAACTTGCTAATTGCTAAATATTTTCCCCAATGCATCGTTACAATTTTCACTTAATAATATGTCTTGGAAATCTTCCTGTAGCAACCCAGCCATGTTATTTTACAACTGCATCGTTTTATCAATTGGTTATATTGTAATTTAATTAAATAGCCCACGAAGGATCTTTCTGCTATTTCTGTTTTTAAAAATGTTTACCAAAAAAACCTATACACTAAACATATATATACATCTCACAGGTCTTTTTTTTTTTTGTGGAGACATCAGTGGAATAAATACCTAGCTATGAGCTTCTTTGATCTAAGCGACTGTGCACCTGAAATTCTGCTAAATAATACTAACTTCCATAAATGTACTGCATTCATCTATAAGGGCTACCACTAGAGAATGTCTCATGATAAAACTTGGAGAATTGTGCCTTTTATGATCCAACTGGCCTAAAAGAATAGCCATTAAGGTGATTCTAACCCCCATTTTTCCTTCACTGGGGAGCTATTTACATTTCTGAGAGAAATGAGATGAAACCCAACAAGCAAACCACTCAAACTAGGCAGCATAGTCAACAATAGCTGTGAAAAATGGAAGGTCTCTCTGGAGCAAAAAAATAATGGAACTCACCTGTAGGCAAATCAGATAACAAATCAGAAGAAGCTCTGGTCAGCATCTCAACAAAATTCTGCCATCTGTGCAAGAAAAGGAAACATAAATTGGTGATCAATATGATTGCCCTGAAAGAATGTCCAGTGAAGCTCTGTTTATATTGGTAGTGATATTGAATAAGCTTTTTGATACTTCTATCATTTAAGGTCCAATGCAGGAAACAGAAACTACTTTGTATATCTTTATTAAAAAGGGCTTTGATATAGGGAATTATTGCAAAGCCATTAGAACAGAAAGTTCTAAGTCTAGGGTCAGGCCTCAGCAGATGTGGTCCAGAGATCAGGGAACAGCAAGAAAATCTGGCTGATGTCTCAGTTTCCCCTAGCTATGAAGTTGTCATCAGGCAGTACAAATTGCTTTCTGGCCACTGGAAAATGAAACAAAAACAAAACAAAACAAAAAAACACTTGCCAGTTTCTGCAGTTGCTACTGCTGTTGATATAAATAAATAAATAAATAAATAAATAAATAAATAAATAAAAACTGTCTCCGTGCCACTGGCCTCTCACCACTGCTTCTGCCTTTCAAATCTCATGAAATTGCATCTCACCAACAGAATTTAAAGCAGTTCTAGAACTTTGTGTCAAGAGGGTTTCAGAAAGGTTCTTTCTAGCCTTCACAAGTATGGAAAGCATTACAACAGAGAAAAAACATAGAAGGGGATAAATATGAGTTCTGAGTGCAAGAACACAATAGTCAGTGAATTCCCAAGTGGAAATTACATTGAGTAATATGTCTGCAAGAGACAACCAGGTAATCATTTAAAGCTTAAAAAGTACTTTAGCAAAACTTTGACATTGAAAATCACTTATATTTGCTTGCCCAGCATCCACCTTCCATTTATATATAAATATGCTCTTCTCTGGGGTGACAGCTACTGGTTTCCTTTTGAATACAGTATGGATGGGACTACGGTATGGTCAAAGTCCCATACCTTGCCCTAGCCAACGTTGTGACCCACCCCCTCTAGTTAATCTCAATCTATTTATCCCTTCCTCCCTTCTTCCCTCCCTCACTTCTTCTCTCTCTCCCACTGTCTCTGCCTTACTCTTTGGTTCTATTCCTTTCTGAAGTTTATTTTTCTCCAATTTTGTGTTAATTCATATCCTTTGAAAATATTTCCTTTTACTTGTGTTAGCAAAAGACAGTTTCTGTTGCTAGCAACCAAACCTCAACTAAGTATCTTTATCTTTCTCCATCTTGTCCATCAGAAGACGTCAAGTGAAAATGAAGAGCAAGTTGGGAAATACATATGCTGGGTTTTTAAAGAAAAGTTCTAATGTCATATGACTTTATTATCTTTAAATAAAATGAGTTAAATAGGTAACTAGTTTATTTTGCTTATACTTCATGAAGGCTTTCCTATATATGACATAACATTTAGAGAAATTATTTGGTCAGGGTAAGTATCACAATATTGGGCTTTGAACATGTGACCTCCAGAGTTTCATGCCACTTTGGGCACATGATTAGACAGATAAGTGATGGATATGCAGGACTGCTAGTCAGATAAGCTGATGACTATATCAGATGTGGTAGGTCTAGGCAGGTAAGAGAAAGTTGAACAAGAAGTAGCAAGCACTTTTGAGGAATATTAATAATTATATAAAGATCTGATATTAGCACAGATCTGCAAATAAACTACAATGGAAGCATCTCCTGTCTTCTACACTTCCTGCAATTTCTTTCCAGACTATTTTAAGAAGTCCAGGTTTATGGCTACAGCACCTTCTGACGCTTTGATGAAAAAAAAAACACAAAACAACAACAACAACAACAAAAACCTAGATCCATTAATATTTACACATTACACAACATTTATTTTTTCAGAGATGTTAGGAATTATCAGGTAGTGTTCTCTTAGATATCAGGTATGATATGAGATAACGCCTCTGGATAAAATGACACCAGAAAATTTTCTGCCCATTCTTGATTATATGCTGACAGCAGGGGAAGCAGATTGAGGGAAATTTTTTTAACTATATTGCCTGATTTGAATGGTATAGGACTTACATGACCAATACAATTTTTAAGATCCTTCTAACAAAATATTTCTTTTCTCCCACGTTCTTTACATTACCCCCAAGACCTTCAAAGTGCTATTCACAACTTAAATTTGGGAGTGGGTTCTAGTTGCCATAGCAGGCACTATAATTCTAATAACAAAAGTAGGTACCAAACCTCCAATGTCAAGCCAGGCAGATCAGGACTGGAGGACAAGTTCTGTGAGCCTGATTCTAGATTCAGGCAGACCTGATTTCGAATCCCACTTTAACTGAGTTTTTCAAGTTAAAATGGCATGGAGTGAACATTCTGAGTACTTTTTGTGCATTATCTCATTTAATTGAGACAACCATCTTATGGGGCATGTAAGTGACTTGTCCAAAGGCACATGGATCAATGGGACAGCAGGGATTTATGCCCTGACTCCAAATCTATTCGAACGTAATGTAACTTGACTTCATTTACATTTTTGTGGTCTTCGCAGTTCCATGGACACAGCTGTAGTGTCTTCTGACATTTATTTTTGCAGAAGTCTGATGTCAGTCTGATTTTTGGTCATTTGTAATTAATTTTCTCTTTATTTGCTTTGGTTTAGTTTTATTGGGTTTTTGGCCTGGATCCCTGAATAATTGCCTTTGTCTTTATAATATAAAAGTTTTGTTGGAATGATGTGAATACATTTTTTCTTAATTTAGCTTACATCACACTGAGTCCCTTCAATCTGTACAGCTGTACCAGCTCTGCAAAGTTTCTTTAGTTGGGACTTCCGTTTTTATTTCTTTTTCCATTTTTTCTAGTTTTCTTTTTCACAATACCAAGGCCTCTTAGGTTGAATCTCTATTCTGATTCTTTCATATCTACTATCCTCATTTTCTTCTTGGTTATTTTTCTCTAGATTTTGTAAAAGCCTCTTAAATTTGACATTACATATTGATTCCTCGTTACCTCTTAATTCTGCTATGAAAGTTTTAGTTTTCTTGAAATCCTCCATATTTACCAAAATTCTTTCTAGTTTCTTCTGTTCATGTTTTGTGCTTTTTAAGTTTCATTTTTGTGTCCTTTAAATCTCATTATGTTGATTACTTTCCAATTCATTTCAGTAGAGGACATGGCTTCTTATACTCTACAAAAAAATCAATGGTTTTCTAAATTTTTCTTAGAGTAGATTAATTTAAAAGGTCTGGTGAGATTTGGAGCCTGCAGAATTGTGGCTCCCTTTCCATGTTTTGTAGTGTATATTTGCTTTTTTTTTTTTTTAATTAGGTGTTTTGCTTCAAATGAGTATCTATTCACATTCAGTACAACCCAGCAGATGAGCTGCACTGATTTCCTTTGGCCTTGCTCACTGCTCACTAGACCTGAAGTCAAGGGCAGATGACAACTTCCATCCATTCCTGGTGCCTCTCAGGCATACACCTGGTGCACCTTGGTAGGGCAGAGATAGGATTTTCTCACCACATTTGTTGTATATCACATACCCCATATTGGTATAGTATGCCATAAGCTATATGCTCCTCATCATATACAACTGACAATGATCTTCCTCTCCGTACTAACCTCTACAACTTTATTATCAGATATTACCTTCATCAGATGCAAGCACCATAGTCATATTTTTCCCCTTACCACCTTGCTTACTTCAACTTTCTGCTGTCATTCTTGATAGTTGAGCTCTCCAAATAGGCACAGAAGAGTTGTGTGTGGTTAAGTGTGTATCCTTGGGCAGGGGAGGGAAGGAAAGGAGATGTGGGGAACCAGAGTGCTCGGGCTGCACAATAAAACAACACTTGTGTAATTTTCTGGTTGGTCAAGACTTGGGTCCCCAAATCAAGGGGAAGATTGTGGTGAAGGGATAGAGTATTTTCTGTTTTCTGCACTTCTTATGGGTGGTTAGGGCACAGCTTGGGGCAAGCAACTAATTGATTTTCCCATATTCCGTTTATTTATAGTTAGTGAAGATTTCTTTTGTACATTCTGACACTAGAGTCCCTGTTAGTCAGTTTTTGCTACTCACGTGTTGTTTGTTTCTTTCCTTCTTCATAGAAATTTTAGTTGGGGGTTGTTAGGCAGATGTCATTTTATACAAAAAGCCTTATATATTAAAAAAAACAAACAAACCTAAAGCACTAAACACACAAAATATAGGCTATTTTATTGAAACATCCTTGTAATACTGATGAAGGTAATTTCAGCTGGTATGCTCTTCTATGAGGGTTATGAAGGCTTAAGTCAAAAGGTTTGCTGGTGTTCACCTCCCAAGCCCATTACCTTTCTTTGCCTCCTGAAATGTATGTTCCAGCCATAATGAACAGTATGTACAGTATGTAGTTCTCCAAACTTATTTTTGCTTGGCTTTTGTCTCAGCACATACTGCTCCTTATCTCTGAAATACTCTTTCCCGTCTCTTACCTGGTTAGCTCCTACAAATCCCACCAAGCTCAGCTGAGACATAGTATAGAATATTGATAAAGAGTTAGCTCTGTTCAGACTGCCAGGATCAGAAATTAAGTCCCATGATTTGAAGAATTGCCTTCAGAATCCTGTAATCCTCTACTTCAGTCAAGGGAAACAAAATATGCCAGAAGGAGGAGCCAGACAGGAGGATTACGGAAGAGGCCTTTAGCCTTTAGGGACTATATTAGTTTGCTGGGGCTGTGTTACGGTCTAAATGTTTATATCTCCCTCACATTCATGTGCTGAAATCCTCACTTCCATGGTATTAGGAGCTATGGTCTTAGGGAAGTGATTAGGCCGTGGGGGCAGAGCCCTCATGCATGGGATTAGTGTTCTTATAAAGGAGGCCTAAGAGACACCCTTTTCTGCTTTCACCATAGGAGGTCACAGTGAAAAAAACACCTGTCTCTAAGGAAGTGGACCCTCACCAAACACTAAATCTGCTTCTGTCTTGATCTTGGACTTCCTGGCCTCCAGAAATCTGAGAAATAAATTTATGTTGTTTATAAACCACCCAGTCAATAGTATCTTGTTATAGCAGTCCAAATGGTCTAAGACAGGCTGCCATAACAAAATACCGCAGATCACATGGCTTAAACAACAGAAAATTATTTTCTCACAGTTCTGGAGGCTACAAGTCCAAGATCAAGGTGTCAGTAGGTTTAGTTTATTCTGAGGCCTATTTCCTTGGCTTGCAGATGGCCACTTTCTTGCTGTGTTCTCTGTGCATGGTCTTTCCTCTGTGCACCTACATCCCTGGTGTCTTTTTGTGTGTCCAAATGCCCACTTCCTATAAGGACAGCCTTCAGATTGGATTAGAACCCACCCTAACAGTCTCATTTTAACTCAGTTATCACTTCTTTATTTTCACTTTTTGGCAGACAGAGTCTCACTCTGTCTCCCAGGCTGGAGTGCAGTGGCACGATCTCAGCTCACTACAAACTCTACCTCCTAGGTTCAAGTGATTCTCGTGCTTCAGCCTCCAGAGTAGCTGAGACTGGAGGCATGTGCCACCACACCAGCTAATTTTTGTATTTTTAGTAGAGGCAGGGTTTTCCCAGGTTGGCCAGGCTGGTGTTGAACTCCTGACCTCAAGTGATCCTCCCACCTCGGCCTCCCAAAGTGTTGGGATTACAGGCATAAGCCACCATAACCAGCCTATCACTTCTTTAAAAGGCCCTCCAAATATAGCCATATTCTGAAGTACTGGGGATTAAAACATCAGTATGTGAACTTTGGAGGGATACAATTCAGCCTTAACAGCCCTAACAGAAGTAAGAGTCAAAGAAGCCTAACTTTTGAGAGTAATTTATGTAATGTCTCTAAACCTTAGTTTACTCATCTGTGAAGTGGTTCTAAAAGGAAAACCAACTCATGGGGTTGCTGGGATTATGCTGTGTAGCCATGTAGAGCATCTAGCCCCATACCTGGATGTATTAGGTGCATATGCATTAATTCTTTATCCAATCAAGTCAAGGGGTTATTTTGATCATGTAATTTAACCTTGCTACTGAGACACTCATTCACTTGCATTGTTTTTCTATGCTTTAACCTTCTTGTTCATGTACTAAGTTATATTCTTTCCACCTTTCAGTTAACTGGGAGAAGTACAGCCCTTCCCTGATATAGAGGCAATAAACTCTGAAATCTAAACAAATGAATTTTATTTTTCCCTTTTGACAGATGGGAAAATTAAGGTTAAGAGAAATTTGTTACTTATCCAGGCTCCAAACCTAGTGTATTTCAGAACCAGGTTGCCAGCTAGGACTCATGCTGGGTTTCTCCATAGATGGGGGCTGAAGAGGTGGTAGAAGGGCTACACTGGTAAGGAAAGGTTGCTTCCAAGCTCTGGGCTTGTTTGGATCATACCTGCCCCTGGAGCTTAAATGTTTCCCTCTTTGGTATTCATATCTTACATGCCTCCTGGGTCCTGGAAGAGAGGGCAAGAGATCCTAAACTCAAATCCAGAACTCTGTTCAGCATCAAGCCCAAGGGTGAAGCCAGCTCTGGAACTTAGGCAGTTTGGCCAAAGCCTCTGTGCCTAGTCATTATCTTATAAACTGAATTTCATGGGACTTGTAGGAGAATCAGTGTAGTGTAGTGACCAAGAGCCAAGACTGAAGGTAGAGAACCTACATTTGACTTAGCCTTATTGACGAATTCATTTATTAGTTGTGTATTGGTTTTAGCCTCTCTGTGCTGCTGTGCCTCAGTTTCCTCACTTGAAAAATAATATACCTACTTCATGGGAAAGTTGCAATAATTAAAAGAGTTAATATTTATAAAGCACTTATTATTATTTTCTGGAAGAGAAAAGGCAGCAGGTCTGATTTCTAAGGCACAGCCAATGGGCAGATCTATACCGTATTTCTAATAGCTTGCTACCTAACACTTTTCCTATTCCCGTCAGAAGTAATTGCTGAATCAGACACCTCAGGTTTCCTTCATCTTCTAAAATCCTCTGGTTGTTCCTGGGATTAGCAAAACCAGTCTTTTTCAACTTAATTGCACTCTCAGTAATGGACCAGATGTGTATGATAAGTCCTACTTGTGGCTGTGTCAATTGCTCCCCTCTTTTCATGAAGCTTCCATAGCAGCTTTATTATTTATCCCTTCCCCCAACACAATTTGGCTTGTGTGCATGTGTTTTAAACTGGTTTGAAGCATTTAATTTTGCCAATACAATTTTAGAGTATTAGTTTGCCTCCTGTTCTCTCTCTGCCCTCCTTAATTACCATTTATTGCAAAGTCACACAGAAACATTAAATGCTAATTCTGATTTACATGTTCCTGGCCAAGAACACGGATAATAATTTCCATCCAACAAAACCTGAACTCATTTTACATAAGGGTGATTCAGAGTAGAGATTTGAAATCGTAATCAAGTCTTTCTCAAAATCGCCTTATCCTGGCAGTCATTCACTAATGTCTCTGCTAATTGGTAGGCAAATGGCAAAAAAACAAATCTCAATGTTAAAAAAACAACAACAACTTTGTAACAGGGTTTGTGAAATTGCTCCTCTCATCAACTCTCACAACATGACAGTTTAAGGAGGAAGCACAACTCATTTTATTTGGTTAGATGGGGCTAATCCCACATCACCATAATCCCTCCTGATGTTTTATTGATTCTAAAGGACATTTAGTCAGGAAGCAGCTCAGCACTAGAATCCTGCTAATTAGCAAGCAGCCACATTCCAAATGGGTTCCCAATTGAACAGCAGATTAATGGACAATATGTACTAAAATAATGATTCGTGCATTCAGCTTCTAAAATGTGTGTCTAAATTACATCTTTAATCTCTTAAGGATATAGGTTTGCATACAAAGCCCTTAACAAAATGGATTTAATTCAACAAAAGAAGCTTTAGCCAATGACTGTTTAGGGATGAAACAGGTATATTTCTTATAAATGCAATTCTTTTTTAGTTCTTATGGTTGTGATATCCTTGAACATTTAAAAGTCAAAGACAGGTGAATAAAGAAATCTGTGTGCTTCTCTGATCTGCACAAAAACAGTGAGAAATTGAGAGTGTTGATAGGATAGTAAGTAGCCTAACACTATTTGCTCCGCATTTTCTCTTGGTCTCATATTCCCGATTCTCAGAATCTTGGTTCTGGATCTCAATTTTTAATCAACAAATATCTATTGAGTCTCTACTACGTACAGGTATAATGTGAGCTTTGATACTTGCTTTTTCTTCCTTTAGATTGGTGCCTTTTTGGTAGTCTTAATTTTGGCCTTGTAATTTTCTACTCGGCTCTTAGCTCAGTTTTCTGCATTTCCAGCTTAACCACACCTCTCGCCTTCATCCAACCACCCCCAAGGTTTCAAAGAAGGCAGACTCTCATGTCCAAAGCTGGCACAGTGGAAATTCATTGACTAAGCTCAATATCATAACCTCATTATTCATATGTTCATCGATTGATGTGGCTCATAACCTTTACCCTTTATTTTTCTGTATTGCTCTTATCACCATGTGATATGCCATATATTCTAACTTATGTATTATTTATCTTTCCCATTAGAATATAAGTTTCATGAGGAAAGGGGCTTTGTTTTATTCATATCTATATTCCTAGTGTGTAAGAGTAGTGCTTGGTATGTAGTAGGTACCCAGTAAATGCTTGCTAAATAAATGAATAAGTAAATTCCTTAAACATTTACTGTGTACCTATCATGTGCCAATGATATGGTTTGGCTCTGTGTCCCCACCCAAATCTAATGTCAAACTGTATTCTCCATGTGTTGAAGGAGGGGCCTGGTGGCAGGTGATTGGATCATGGGGGCAGATTTCCCTCATGCTGTTCTCATGATAGTTTTCACGAGATCTGATAGTTTAAAAGTGTGGCACGTCCCCCTCACTGTCTCTTCCTCTCTCCTGCTTTGCCGTGGTAAGATATGCTTGCTTGCCCTTTACCTTTTGCCAGGATCATAAGTTTCCTGTGGCCACTCAGCCATCCTTCCTGTTAAGCCTATAAATCTGTAAGTCAATTAAACCTCTTTTCTTCATAAATTACCCAGTCTCCGGTTGTTCCTTACAGCAGTGTAAAAACAGACTGATACAGAAAATTGGTACCAGGAGAGTGGGGCACTGCTATAAAGATACATGAAAGTGTGGAAGTGACTTTGGAACTGGGTAATGGGTAAAGGTTGAAACATTTTGGAGGGCTCAGAAGAAGACAGGAAGATGTCGGAAAAATTTTGAAACTTCCTAGAGACTTGTTGAGTGGTTTTAATCAAAATGCTGACAGTGATATGGACAATGACGTCCAGGCTGAGGTAGTTTCAAATGAAAATGAGGAACTTTTTGGGAAATGGAGTAAAGGTCACTCTTTCTACGCTTCAGCAAAGAGAATGGCAGCATTTTGCCCTTGCCTTAGATATCTGTGGAACTTTGAACTTGAGAGAGATGATTTAGGGTATCTGGCAGAAGAAATTTCTAAGTAGCAAAGCATTCAAGATGTGACCTGGCTGTTTCTAAAAGTGTACAGTCATAAGCATTTACAAAGAGATGGTCTAAAATTGCAATTTATGTTTAAAAGGGAAGCAGAGCAAAAAAGTTTGGAAAATTTATAGCCTGACTATGAGGTAGAAAGGAAAAGCACATTTTCTGGGGAGAAAGTCAAGCTGGCTGCAGAAATTTGCATAAGTGATGAGGAGCTATATATTAATAGCTAAGACAATGGGGAAAATGTCTCTAGGTCATTTCAGAGATCCTGGCAGCTCCTCCCATCACAGGCCTGGAAGTCTAGGAGGGAAAAATAGTTTCGTGGGCTGGGCCCAGGCTGGGCTTGAGGCTCTGTGCAGCCTCAAGACATGGTGCCCTGCATCCCAGTTGCTCCAGCTCCAGCTGTGGCTAAAACAGGACTCTGTGCCTGTACAGAGGCCGCACTAGGGCACTGCCTAGTGGGGTTTGAGAAGAGGGCTACAGTCCTCCAGACCCCAGAATGGTAAATCCACTGACAGCTTGCAACCGTGTGCTTGGAAAAGCCACAGGCATTCAATGCAAGCCTGTGAAAGCAGTCAAAGTAGCTGTACCCTGAAGAACCACAGGGCCAGAGCTGCCCAAACCCTTAGGAGCCCAACCCTTGCATCAGTGTGCTCTGGATGTGAGACATAGAATCAAAAGAAATTATTCTGGAGCTTTAAGATTTAATGATTGCTCTGCTGGGTTTTGGACTTGCATGGGGTCTGTAGCTCCTTTCTTTTGGCACATTTCTTCCTTTTGGAATGGGAGCATTTACCCAATGCCTGTACTCCCACTGTATCTTGGAAGTAAGTGACTTGTTTTTGATTTTACAGGCTCATAGGTAAAAGGGATTTGCCTTGTCTCAGATGAGACTTTGGACTTGGACTTTTGCATTAATGCTGGAATGACTTAAGACTTTGAGGGACTGTTGGGAAGGCATGATTGGTTTAGAAACATAAAAAGAACATGAGATTTGGGAGGACCTGGGGGCAGAATGATATTGTTTGGCTCTGTGTTCCCACCCAAATCTCATGTCAAATTGTAATCCCCATGTATTGAAGGAAGGGCCTGGTGGGAGGTGATTGGATCATGAGGGCAGATTTCCCCCATGCTGTTCTTGTGATGGTGAGTGAATTCTCATGAGGTTTGATGGTTTAAAACTGTGGCACTTCCCCCCTCACTGTCTCTCTCTCTCTCCTGCTTTGCCATGGTAAGATGTGTTTGCTTCCCCTTTGCTTTTCACTGTGATTGTAAGTTTCCTGAGGCCTCCCAGCCATGCTTACTGTACAGCCTACAGAACTGTGAGTCAATTAAACTTCTTTTCTTTGGAAATTACTCAGTCTCAGGTAGTTCCTGTAGTTCCTTATAGCACTGTGAGAACAGACTAATACAGCCAAGAACTAGGCTAGATGTTGGAAATACAGTGTGAGGAAAATAGTCATGCCCCTTGCTAGCATGGAGATCACTATGTAGACATTAAACTAACAAATCACACAAATACACACAATTACAAATACTGATAAGTGTTAGCAAATAAAATGACTGGGTGCCATGAGAGAGTACAGCACAAGGAACCTGATTTTGGTGAGGTGGGTAAGGAAGGCCTTCTTCAAGTTGCTCATGAGATAGGGACTGGGAAGAATTTACGTATCTGCATCCCTGAGAATATTTTGAGGGATTACCTCTCTAATTCAGTTCAAGTCAATGTATCCCCAACCCCCAATTCAGTTCAAGTCAATAAATATTTATTGAGAACCTACTATGTGCCAAGCACTGCTCTAGACACTTTGGATACATCAATGAATAAAACAAAGACCCTGACTTCCCCATGGCACTATCATCTACTGTCTGTCAGGGAGATACAGATAATAGCTATACAGATGATAAATCTGCAAATTACCTAATTCATTAGAGGTTGATAAGTGTATAAAAGAAAACAAAAAGAGACTAGCTGAAGGGGAACAAAGGATGGGGACCACAGCTTTAAATAGGGTGGTTAGTGTAGTTCTCATTGACAAGGAGATATTTGAGCAAAAACTTGAAGAAAGTGAGGGAGTTAGCATAAGGATATCTGTGGGAAGAGCTTTCAAGGTAGAGGGAACATTCAAAAGATAGGTGTTAAGGTGAAGTCTGCATGGTGTGTTTGAGGAAGAAAAGAGGCATGGTGTAACTGGAACAGATTAGGGAAAGGAAATTTTAGATGGAGCCAAAGTGATGGGGGAGCAACTCTTATAGAGGACTTTGATTTTTTTTTTTTTTTTTTGCCTTCTACGTGTAATAACATACTCTTGCAGTGTTTTGAGCAGAGTAATGATGCAAACACTTTTAGGTTTTTTAATAGACAACAATAGCTGTGGGAGTGAGGATAAACTAGGTATAAGAGTAGAAACAGAGTTCAGTTAGGAGGTTATTACAGAAATCCAGGAGAAAGATAATGGTAGTGTGGATGGGTGTTGTTAAGTAACAATAGAGGGGGTGACAGGGAACCAGATTCTGGATATGAGTTGATTTGCTAATTAAATAAATTAAATCAATAATTAACAATCTTTCAAAGCAGAAAGTACCAGGCCCAGTTGGGTTCACTGGTGAATTCTACCAAAAATTTGAGAAAGAAATTGCAGTAGTTTCCCCTTATCCACAGGGTATATATTCCAAGACCCATCGTGGATGCCTGAAACTACAGCTAGTACTGAACCCTATATATCCTATGCACAAATTTCTTTTTCCTTCTTCACAATTGTACAAATAGATTTGTTCTTTCTGTAGATCTTAGAAACCTCAGCATACATTTTTTTTCCCTCATTAAGTTGAAAGCCTTCATCTTTTCACATAAGAAAGTATTTTACAGTTTATCTTTGGCATATCCAAGTTGCCAGCATGACTACTTTTTTGCTTTGAGGCTATTAATAAGCAAATAAGCAAAATAAGAATTACTTGAACACAAGCACTGTGATACCATGACAGTCAATCTGATAACCAAGACAGCTACTAAGTGATTAACACAGGTGTAACATATACAGCACAGATATGTTGGATGAAGGGAAGATTCATTTCCCAGGCAGAACCGAGCAGGACAGAATAAGATTTCTTCATGCTACTCAGAACGGTGCACGACTTAAAACTTATAAATTACTTATTTCTGGAATTTTCCATTTAATATTTTCAGATCATAGGTAACTGAAGTCACAGAAAGTGAAACCACAGAAAGGGGAAGGCTACTATAATTTGTCTTTTTCTCTGTGTGCTTTTAAGGTTTTTTCTTTACCACTGGGTTAAGCAATTTGATTACAATGAACTTTTGCATGGTTTATTTCAAATTTCTTGTGTCTGAAGTTCATTGAGCTCCTTGCGTCCATGTCTTTATAGTTTTCTCCAAATTTGAAAAAAATGGCAGCTATTATTTGTTCAACATACTTTTCTTCTCTTCATCCCTCTCTTCCTTTTCTGAGATTCCAATTTCCCATGTATTAGGCTGCTGGTGTCACAAGGCCCAGTGATGCTCTGTTAGTTTTTCCTTCATTTTTTCACACTGAGTTTTATTTTACATAGTGTCCGTATCTATGTCGTCAAGCTCATTTATTTGTTATTGTGTTTTATCTTCCGTTGCTTCCATAACAAACAGTTTTCTTTCAGGTATTGTATTTTTAAAATAAACCTCATTTTTTAAAAGTAGTTTTAGATTTTATAGAAAAAAATTTAAGATAATACAGAGAATTTTCATATACTTCATACTTGTTTTCCCTTTTTGTCAATACCTTACAATCATATGATACTGTTGCTATGATTAATGGACCAATATTGATACATTATGATTAAAGTCCATAATTCCAATATCCTTAATTTTTACCTAATATTTCTTTTCTGTTCCAGATTCCCTCCAGGCTATCCCATTACATTTAGTCTTCATGTCTTCTTATGTTCTTGTTGGCTGGGACAGTTACTCAGATCTTCCTCATTTTTAATGGCCTTCACAGTTTTGTGGAGCACTGGCTGGGCATTGTGTAGAATGTCTCTCTGTTGTGAATTGTTTAGTGTTTTTCACATTATTACACTGGGGTTACATGTTGCAGGGGAGAAGACATTGTATTTTTTATCTCTAGAAGTTCTATTTGGATCTTTTTTAATCTTCCTTATCTTTCATTATGTTCATGCCTTCTTGAACAGGAGAAGTGTATTTATAAGTGTTCTTTTAATATGCTTGTTTACTAATTGTATTATCTGTGTTGTTTAGGAATCTGCTTTTATTAACTTGTTTTTCTGTGAATAATAAGTCCTACTTTTCCTGCTTCTTTTTGTGCTTAGCAATTTTTGTATACATTTTAAAATTGTGATTTTTGCATTGTTGATTGAGATTTTCTGTTCCTTTGAAATTGGGGGACTTTGTTCTTAGATAAAATTAAGTTGCTCAAAAACATTTTGATCATTTTCAAGCCTTGTTAGAGTTTTAAGATTTGTTGAGTTTGTCTGGGGTAATTTGGCACCATTATTACAATGATGTACTTTTTTAAGGTTTCTACTCAATGCCGTATGTGTTACGAGGTCTGCCTCACTAGCTGGTGGAAACATGAAGTATTCCCAATCCTATGTGAGATCTAAAAATGTTTCTACCTCTTTCTTTTGGTGTTACCTTTCCTGGCCTTGGGTAGTTTCCTCAAATGGACACATTAGCCAGCACTTACTTGAAGATTTAAGGGTAACTCTTGGAAATCTCCAGAGACGGCTCCCTGGGGATTTCTCACTTCTCTACTCCTCTGTGCTGTGCATTTTAGTCTTTTTGGCCTTCTTGAACTCGAAACTCTGTCCCTTTAACTCAGGGAGAATGCTGGGCTCTGCCTGAATTCCCCATTCCTATGCAATAAGCTAGGCTCACTTGCTTTATTTTTCTTCTCCCAGGAGTCATTGTTCTGTGCTGCTTGCCGTTCGATGTCTGAGAATCACTGCTTCATATATTTTGTCCTATTTTTAGTTGCTTAAGGTAGAATGGTAAGTCTAGTCCCTGATAGTCTGTAATGGTTGTAAGTGGAAGTTTCCTGCTTTGTTTTTCTATGGCCAAGAAGACCCTTTGGTCGCAATAAAAGCAAACATTCTTAACTCCATCAAGTGATGAAATCGATTGCTTCACACATAGAACTCCTACTCTAAAGACAGATCTATGTGACTGGCATCCTAACAGAGGACAGAATGAATAAAAAATTCAGGCTGCTATCACAAAATGTCATTCACTAGGTAGGAATCTAGAAAATCAAGATCAAGGTGCTGGCACCTTAAGTTCTTGCTGAGGACCCTCTTCCTGACTTACAGATGGCTACCTTTTGTATCTTCACATGGCAGAGACAGGAAACTCTTATGTCTGTTCCTCTCATTACAAAGACAATAATTTCATCATGGGGGTTTCACCTTTATGACATCATCTAAACCTAATCACCTCCCAAACCAGTCTCCAAAAACCATCATATTTGAAGTTAAAGCTTCACCATATCATTTGGGGAAGGGGTGGTGGATACAAACATTCAGTTCTTAATAAGAGTTGACTTACTTTATTTCATTTTGGTAACCCAAATCTTGATGGTTAAGCAATGTTTCCAGCAGGCTCAGGGTCAGATATAATCCATGCTTCCCACATATAGCCCTGACCTACAAGTTAAAAAAAAATAAAAAAGATTTGATGTTTCACTAGGATACAAAATGTTTCAATAGAATACAATTAATATTTGTTTTTTCTCATAATTGGAAGCTATATTATTTTGACAAAGAATTAATACCCAGGAGTACATTCTACCATTGAGGTATCCTTCAGGATACCATTTAGGACAAGAATGTGCAACTGAATGCTTACCAGCAAGTTTTTATTCAGTTGACACAGAGGTATATTTCATTACTCAGAAGTCACTGGGGTTTGAAATGCTGATCTTACATTTTTATCAGCCATGGAAGGGGTAGTCAATGCCTATGTATTACACATACTTGATTATATAGGTAAATTGCTAAATGTTTTTGTATCATCCATTTTGATTAGCCAAACAAGCTTGTTGTATTAGCAGGGTTAATATTACTATCTACATTTTATATATGAGGAAACAAAGACCTGGAGGGATTATTTCCTTAATGTCACATAGCTAATAAGTTATGGAACTTAGTCTAGAAACCAGATGCTCAGATAAATAGTTATTGAATGAATGAATGAGGTGTCATTGAAGTTTCCCAAGTTCATAATATGTTCTAAATCTTGTTCTGAACTAGTACAAACCAGTTCAGTTCTCAGGTTGGTGGGTAAGTGACACTTAGATTCAAATATTTCAAACTTTTAGGGTGTAGTAACTTTTGTTGTATATTTAGAATAATGGCTAAACATATAAATGATAGAACCAAACAGACCTTATCTGAGCACAGATCTGCTGCCTGTGATCTCTCTGATCTTGGGAAGTTACTTAACCTTTTTTAGGTCCTACAACTTCATTTACTAAACAAGACTAGTACTTTCTATTTCCCAGGATTCTGTCAGGATTGCATGATAAAATTAGCATTTAGGATAGTGCCTGGTTCTTATTAGGCATTTGATTAATATTTGATGAAATAAAGAAAAGACAGAAGGAGGAGAGAGGAAGCAGAGAGAGAGGAAAGAAGAGAGAAGAGGGGAGAGTACAGAAGAAGGAAAATAGAGAAATGGAAGAAGGAAGAAGAGAGGAAACAAGGGAGGGAGAGAGAGAGAGGTAGTGGGGTATCAAGGAAGGAAGGAAGGGGAGAAGGAAGGAAAAAAGAAATGTCAAGTTTAATGTGTGGACTATTTACACTAAATTAGACATTTCTAATAGTAACTACATAAAAAAATGAATATATAAGTAAATAATAGCAACTACTAAAATTAGCTATTTAGTCCAAACATAACTACAGTTGAGCATCTCTAATCCAAAAATCCAAAATCTGAAACTTTTTGAGTGCTGACAGGTCACCACAAGTGCAGAATTCTACACATTTGTATTTAACACAAACCTCGTTTCATGCACAAAATTAATACAATTATTGTATAAAATTACCTCCAGGCTATGTGTATAAGTGATATACAAAACATAAATGAATTTCATGTTTAGATTTGAAGTTCTGTCCCCAAGATAGCTCATTATGTATGTGTAACTATCCAATATCCAACAAAACGTTCAAAATCCAAAACACTTCTGGTCCCAAATATTTCAGACAAGAGATACTTGACCTGTATTTTTAGTCACTGTTACTATTTTTAGAGGAAGCTCAGTCTAGTGCCTGTATTAAGCCTATCTTTTTATATTGATACTTCAGCCTTCGCAGGGCTTTGTTGACCCTGGAGAGACTGCCCTTCCTGAAGTCTGCCTTTTATCAGCTAACCAACTTATCCAAAGCCCATACTCCAACCATCTCTTTTATTGATGCACTCACAGAGCCACTATTTCCCTGCTCTAACCACCCTGGGGCCAAGTACAGAGCCTGCTGGTTATGCAAGCCAGCCAATCCTAAGCCTGTTTACCCTGCTCTGCCCATTCCCCACAAAAAAATCTCATGCCCACATTCCCCTCACTCTCTCTGCCTCCTGACAGAACCTGGCGCTTCCTCTGGCCCTGCATGGTGTGGCCTGGCCCCGCATGGTGTGGCGTGCCTGCTCCTCTTAGCAACCATGAGAAACAGACTATCTTTTCAGTAGCAGTCATCTCATCTCCTGATCTGTTGGTTTCACCATACCTGAATAATTATAAAACCAACATTTTAAAATGACAACAAAAAGCTCATCTTCGTTTTTCTTTATGAAAGGAAAGACAACCAATCGGGTTTGAAACTTGCATGTTCCTGTGTATAGAGGAGAAATGTCAGGGAAGCTTAAAAGAGGGGAAAAAAAAAAGATTGATTTGAAACATGAAAAAACGAAGAGTTTGCTAGAAGAATAAGGAGTTGGGGGGCATTCCAGGCTGAGGAAAAGCATGTGTAATTATGGGGGAGAAAGAGCACGGTGCTTTTTAGAAGCAGCATATATTTTGACATTATCTGTTCTGCTATCATACCCCTTTCCAGGCTGGGCAGTAATTATCTGTCATTTGTTGAGCATTTCTACAAGGTGGTGGCTTACTCAGGGCTGGGATTGGGTATCATTCATTTTCTTATCACCATTGGCTAGCAGAGTATTGAAAAATAAAGGATCAATAATTATTGAGTAAATGTATATATGGGTGAAAGAGGCCATGAATGCATGAGCTGAATTCACTGAAGAGTGGAATGTGTATGAGTGGAGGTTGGCAAAAAAATAAAGTTCAAGAGTCAGAGATTGGTCACACTAGGCCATTTTACTCCATAAATAAGAACTGAACTATCTTCATGATTAGAACATATTGATGTATTTTTAAATATCAATATTAAGAGATTATTCTAAAAACAGATCACCTACTTCTGGCAACACTGAGTTTTGCTTTAGGCTAAAATGAACAGCATATTAGAAATAGTACATCAGGGTTCCTAGAAGCAGACTGATGGATAGCTGCTAAGAACTGACTGCTGCCAGTTAGAGAGGCACAACAGAAACATCTACCAGAAAATCACAGCAATTCCACGTTATTCACGATTATTATTAAGATCCATTAAAACATCAATATTCATAATGATGACCCTTGGTAAGAAAATGTTTCTATGTAGTTTATTCTGTTTAATAAGGAAATGTTTTTAACCAGAAGTAAATAAAATATCTGTTATTAAAAAAACATGTGAAATAAACATTCATTTCCCCAAAATGCTCCTTGAAAGATCAGTGCACACTGTCTCAGAGCCCTCTTTTCCCACAGATAGCTCCATTTGCATTTTACCTCTTCATTCTGCTTAAACTCTGTTTACCAAGTTACTAGGAACCTCCGTGGTTTTAAATTTAATGAATACTTTTCAATCCTATTTATAGATGATCTTGTTGCAGCATGAGACATGGCCGATCATGCCATCCTTCTCCAAACTCTCTTTGTTTTTTGCTTTTTTTTTTTCCACTCCCATGTCTCCTTTGATTGTTTTGAATTTCCTTTCTTGGCTTCTCTTTGTTTACTACTCCTTAACAATGAGTGCTCTCCTCAGCCTTCTTCCATTCTCACTTGTCATTACATCCTTGGGTGATCTTAACTACTATGAATTCCACTCCATATTGAAAAGTCTTAAATCACTATTCAGTTTTCACCTCTCTACCCAGATCAACGTGTTCAAAACTGAACTCATCACTCCTTCCTCTACCCCTCTCAATTATTCCTTTTCTGTTTCCTATCTCAGAGAATGGCACCACTATCCATCAAGTTGCCAAAGCCAGAACCTTGGGAGTCATTCTAGATTTCTCCTAAGTCAGGGCCCATATCTAATTAGTCATCAAGACTTGCTTTTCTACCTCCTTGATGTCTCCATCCCTCCTGTTACTGCCTTGGCTTAAACCCTCATAATTTCTTGCCTGGATTATTGAAACAGCCTTCTAAAAGGTCTCTCTGCCCCTAATTTTGCCTGATTCTAATCAATTCTCCAAATTCGATTGGAATGCTTTTTTTTCCCATTTGAATCTGATCATATCATTCACTTGTTTAATACCCTTCAATGATTCCTTTGGACCTTTAGTATAAAATTCATGCTCCTTAGAAAGACCCTTCATAAACTGGCTCCTACTTTCCATTCTAAAGTTGACTTGAGCAGGACTTACCCTTTCCTGAATTAGCCATGCTCTCATGTCAGTGCTTTCACATTGCGACTTCTACCGAGAACACTTTTCCCATCTCTTCCCCTGTCCCCCCAAGTTTTTTTTTTTTTTTTTTTTTTAGATGGAGTCTTGCTCTGTCACCCAGGCTGGAGTGCAGTGGCAGGATCTCAGCTTGCTGCAACCTCCGCCTCCTGGGTTCAAGTGATTCTCCTGCCTCAGCCTCCCAAGTAGCTGGGACTACAGGCATGCGCCACCATGCCCGGCTAATTTTTTTATTTTTAGCAGAGACAGGGTTTCACCATGTTGGCCAGGATGGTCTCCATCTGTTGACCTTGTGATCCGCCCACCTTAGCCTCCCAACGTGCTGGGATTACAGATGTGAGCCACCATGCCCGGTCCCCCTGTCCCCGCATTCTTTGCCAAACTTGCCTGTCCTCTAAGATTCAGTGTTTACATCATCTCCTCTGGAGAGCTTTCAGGTGGGCACATTGGTGTTCCTTCTCTGTGTTCAGAGTTACTGCCGTCATTGCACTGTCACACAGAATTGTGATGACGTATTTAAAACATTGCCTTTCCCCTGAGCTCCTGGAGAACTCAGGAGCCCAAACCATAAAAGTCTGTTGTCCTCAGTGCCTACCACAATGCCCAGAACATATTGAGTGATTATTATGTCAAACGCAAGAATGGGTTAAATATGCCATATTGATCAGAAAGGTGGCTGTTGCATTGGAAGAGGAGAAACATTCAAAGTTAGTAAAAATCTTTTTTATACTTTTAAGGCAGAGCTTCCAGTTATAGAAAACACTAAATATGAAAACAGAACCTGACAAACTACAGAAGGAGGTCTTACAGTCCTGGTCCACTTAAACACATGTCCTAGCTAGAGTCTTGCCACAAGAATGAACTTCACATTCACAAACCCAGGCTATCAGTAAGGGGACTCCCTCCCAATGATGAGGAAGCTACATGAAAATGAAGCAAAGAGTAATTAAAACAACCTATGTTCTAGCTAGCTCTTCCTGGGAGGCAGGTTTGGGAGCAATTTGGGAGGGGTTTGTGCTATGAAGCAGAAAGAGGATGAGTTCAAATGTTGAAGAATATGGATTGTGTAAAAGGGTTAAACTGAGCCTGCATGCATAGAATGTCTTAGGTTCTACAACCCTATTGAATCTACATCTGACTTGGGTAATAGTTGGGGAAGTTAATAAATCAATGAATGTGTATCCACATTGCCTTGGCAGTCCTGACAGAAACCATCATTGCATTGAAGGTATGCTAGAGGAACAGGATGAGTGAGTCCGCAGAATGAAGATGACAGATACTTTATATGCTTCTATACTGATCTTTGTGGATGGTCAGATTCCATTGATTTTAGTGACAAGACCCATAGAATATCCTTTAAGGCTGCATTTATCTATCTTGGAAGTTATAGATTATCTGTGAACCCTCTGAAATGGTGGCAGTCTGGATGTGCTTTTAAATTTTTTTTTTAATCTTTCTGGAGAGAGAGTGCATAGCTTTCATAGTCTGTGATTCTCTCTTCTGCACCCAAAGGAAATTCAGAGCTACTTGTCAAAACAACCCCCACAAAAAACCCCTTTAACTCAGTCATAACCTTTCCTTGTCCACTCTGAAGTCCCGTGTTCAGGAGTAAGGGAGTTGAGGTGTGATAGTGGCTGCTTCTTGTTTCCAATGTCCCTTGGGCTTCAATTTGCCTCATGTTCTGGGGAAACAGAATTCTATTTCACATGCCTCCCAGAACTGTATTATGCTCTGAGTGAGTTCCAGATGTCTTAAGAGATGCCAGATGGCTCACGAAAGGCAGACCAGCTTCAAGGAAAATGTACCCCATTTCCTTGGATCTGAACCATAAAGTTAAGCTTTCAGGGACGGCTGTGGGGAGAAGAACATTCAAGATTCAAGGTCTGCCCTGATAACCAGACCTCAATGTGGCCATCACTTGACTGTGGGAAGATTCTCCTTTCTTAGGCTGTTTTGAAGTGAGACCCTCACCAAACACTGATTTCTTTTTTATAAGAAGGAGAGGAAGCATATTTAGTGAGGGCCTTATAAATCAGATAGTATGCTAAATGCCTTCACATATTTATTTTATTTAATCCTCACATAGACACAGGAGATAGATATTTGGGACCCAGATTTGCCAGTGGAAAATCTGAGACTCAAAGAGGTTTAGTAAATATATTTTGATTTTCAAGTTGTTTATGTTTCATTCTATGAGTATCATCTGAGAATATTCAAACTTCACCATTGGTTATGTGGTTTCTAATCTAAGAAGAAATTGCTGCTAAGAATTTTTAGACTAAGAGTCTATTTCTGTAGATCTTCTCACAAACAAGTAAAGGCCCCATGTGCTGTGTGGACTTTCCTGCAATGCTCTATTTCTCTTTCTCATGAAATATGCTTGCATGTATAATATTCAAACACACACACACACACACACACATACACACACACACACACAGAGTTTTGCCTTTGCACAGTTGATTTTAAATATAGAAGTTAAAAGAAAAATGCTTTTGTCCTAGAATAAGAACTCATTTTCAGCATATCATGTCCTTGCTCCTTAGTAAATATCACCGTTCTTTTAAATTCTCTGACTCCCTCAATTCCAACCTCTGTATACCTAGATGAAAGGCATTTTCCAATATTTCTAACAGGGATTTTTTGGCCTATAATTTCCAATTCTTTCTAATCTTCTGGAATTCTAACTCTTGTATATTGAACTCAATGGAATCATCCAGATATCTTCTACCTAATGAAGTGCCAATTCTGCCTCTCAGTTTCCATAACTCTTCTGGACTTTGAATCCTGGCCTTGCCACTTGTTAGCTGTGACTCTTGGGTGATTCAATTGGCCTCTTTGAGACTCAGGTTTTTTTTTTTTTTTTTTTTTTTGAGACTGAGTCTCGCTCTGTCACCCAGGCTGGAGTGCAGTGGCGTGATCTTGGCTCACTGCAACCTCCACCTCCCAGGTTCAAGCAATTCTCCTGCCTCAGCCTCCTGAGTGGCTGGGATTACAGGCATGCACCACCATACCTGGCTAATTTTTTTTGTATTTTTAGTAGAGATGGGGTTTCACTATATTGGCCAGGCTGGTCTTGAACTCCTGACCTGGTGATCCATCTGCCTCGGCGTCCCAAAGTGCTGGGTTACAGGCATGAGCCACCACGCCTGGCGAGACTCAGTTTTAAAAATTTATTAAATGGGTATTATAAGGACTACCTAGATTTTGTAGTATTTTGTACAGAATTAACTTTGTAAGTGTTACATGAGATAATGTAAGCAAAGCATTTAGCACGGTGCTTGGCACTTAGTAAAAGTGTAGTGATGATGAGGTGTTGCTAACAGAGTTACAGTAGTAGTGGTAATTATTATTTTACCTGTATCCAAAGAAGCCTTATGATGGGGTTTATTTGGCTTCAGAAGTTCCATGAGTTTTTATGGTTCTGGATTATCTTCCATGAAGCACATCTGCACTATTAATTAATGCTCCAAAACAGCATGGTAGCCTCTATTGGCAGTAAATTACATCGGTCCCTAAAATTTGGTTTTGCTAAGGGTTGGGACACCACATGCTGTTCTCATTGGAAGCCAGGAAAGAGTGTGAGAAATAAACATTTGGCCTTGCAAAAATAGTTGTTTTCCATTATGAAATATTATTTGAGTGTTGTCATATTCTCTATTATTAACATAAAACAGCCCAATATAAGTAATTCCTGGATCAATTTCACAATTCCTGTACATTTCACAATTCCTTTTCTGCCTTGTTTTTCACTTCTCAGGCAAAGAAAACAAACAACTGTGTAATGTAATCCACAGGCAGAATATGGATCAGCCCTGTGCCTTATTGCTATAGACCCAATGCCCTGAAGTGGCCTTTACAGAGGAACAAATCTGAAATTGAATTTTGGTTACCTTAGGTAGAGGGAGGCAGCCAGAGAACGAGCGATCTTCTTTTCGAAAACTCAGATTGAGATTGTCTATGTTGAGTCTGCCATTGGTTGTCCTTAGTGCCATCTTCAAAATCTCCAACAGACTCCTGTTCACTTCTGGCTGTGAGCTGGAGTGCTGAGGTGGAGTGCTGATTGTAGGGGAAATGGGGAAGGCTATGAAAAGGTTATCCACCCAAGGCAGCTGCATGCTTTCCTACTACATTTCTCAACTTTGCTACACACTATGGAACCAGAGAGCCCATCTACGTAGGCCCTCTCAGTCTTGGGAACCTGGTCATGAGGCCGCATGCAGACATTTCATAGCTTAACTCATACCTGCTCCATCTGAGTGAACTCTACCTAATCTCTTTTCCAAGAGGCACCAACCAATCTGACTACAACAAAGGCCAAAATTCTTAATCTATCTTTGTAACTCTTTTTTTTCTAGGTTGAGACAAAAAATAAGCAATCATAGTAGTTTACTTTATCTGCTTGATTTTACTTTTCTTCAACTCAGATAATTACTGATGACAAATGACATTTCGAAACTGCTCACTGCCACAAGCAAAGCAAAGCAGATTCCACCAGATCCCCATACCAAGACAGCCTAGTTCCCTGGGAGGAAATCCTGAACCAGCTGGATTTCCTGCATTAACCTTGACTCTGCTCCTTATATCTGAAAAACCCAGAAATGTTTGGGAGTAATTATTTACTTACAGTCTGGCATGCAAATGTACATAAGTATTAAGGTGGTCTGTCTAACAGACTATCGTTATTTTAAATAATAGGTGAAAAACAACAGGGTGAGATGTTATATTCACTGATTTTATGAAACTGGTTTGATATGTTTACTTATCTAACAGCCAAATGTATTTGTTCCTCCAGATCCAGGTGTACTATTGCTTCCTCTGTGAAACTTTTCCTGTTTTCCATTGTCTCAAGTTAAACACCAAGTTCCCTAGAGGGACAGTCCATGACATTGCTCAACTTCTACCCATCTAAATTGGGTTTCTTTCAGTGGTATACTGGTAAATCTTTAACAATCAGCTTTGCAAGATAAAGCCCTAATTTGCTGCATTACTGATTTCCCTGGTGTAAATACCCCCACCATGGGTGATTTCAGGCTACCACTGTGACATTGCTGAATGAGGAGTTGGGAAGAGGTGTGCATCATTGGCCCTCATGTCTGGCTCCTGCACACCCCTGATTTATATACTTATTCATAGTGCTTTGTTCTTTTCCTTAATAGGTCTCCTCCAACTTGCAGTCACATCTCTATTTCCTTATTTTTTCAAGTCTGACTTCCTCCCTGGTAGTCTGCTCTAAGAGGTCAAGTCTGTTTTGTTCCTTACTGTTTCCCAGGGATCTTGTACAGTACCTGGAACTGATTCATTTTAGATGTATATAACTTTGTCCAAAGGTGATATTATTTCCTTTTTTTTTTTTGGCTCTAGGACTCTCACACAAGTTTTGGCTCCAAATTATACTATTCTGAACTACTTAATAATATATAATATTTTCCAAAAGTTTGGTACAGAGAAGGAATAGTGGGCACGTGCATTTATTTTGGTCACCAACTTTTGCATGTGCCTTCACCTGTCCAGGGAGTTCCCCAGCTCATGAGACAGTCCACCTCTCACTGTGGCAGAGGAGAATGCCAACTATTTGCTTTACCAGCCTCTCTTTGCTGCAAGGGCACATGACCCAAACACTGTCAATCAGACATCTCTGTTCCAGATCTGAATCATAAGTCTTCCTTCCTCTTTTCTTGCAAGGACAGTTTCTGGGGATAAGAATTCATGAAGCTTTGGTCCCTGGCTCCGTACACTGAGTACTGGATGGGCAGGTGTTGTATGGAACCCATTTACTGCAGCTGGTAGGGCTTCTTAGAAGGCCTGTTGCAGAATTTTAGTTCATCTGGTCCAGTTTAGGAGATGAGAGCTGTTGCCACCCCTACTGCCACTGGCAATGCTGGAACCTTTTAAAACATCACAGAGCTACCCTATTAGAGGATCTACCTGACAGAGCATGAGAAGAGGATTTTCCTGATCCATACCTTAATTAACAAATAGCCTGGCTTTATTACAGGCCATCAGTCCTGTATTTCTACAAACATACTGTCTGGTTTTTAGAAAGCAGCACCTTCTCTGATGAGCTCAAAATGATTTCTTCATGTGCCTTTTCTATAGAACAGATATTCATGTATCCCTGAAAGTAAATTGATGTGAGCACTTTAGAAAATTGGAGGTGCCAATTACATTCAACAAATATTATTGAGCATCTTCTGTATGCCAGGAACTATGTTAGAACTATGCTAGACACAGAGTTGGCCAGGACAGCCACAATTCCTAACCTCAAATGTCAAATAAATAACAGAAAATGCCATAACCGCTATGAAGGGGAAGGACTATGGAACTAACAACACAGAGATCTAACCTTATCTAGGTATCAGCAAAGGCTTTCTGTCTAGGACTCATAAGACCTTACACGCCAGGGATTGGCCTTGTTTTCTACCGCATGGTCTATGACCTCTCAGGGTCAAAATTTTACAGTATGTATTATATGAAGGATAGTTGCTGTTGGTTAAAAATTTCTAGGGCTTTATGGCTCTCAGTAAGACAGTTGCTCCCAGAGTGATATTTGACTGGAATGCCTAGATGGCAGTATTGTTTTCTTTGGACCATGAGCCCTAAAGGAAGAGACTAGGCTTTGTCAATCTGGAATTCACTGTGCCCAGCAAAGTAAGCCTGACAAACAGCTCACATTCAATAAGTGTTGAAGTTATCACAGTGAAACAGGGCACACTGTAGGAAGGAATCAAGTCCAACTGTTGGCCCAAGGACATTTTCAAACAAACAAACAAACAAACAAACAAAAAATGCTACCTTCTTCCTAGAGTAAAACACTTAACTCTAATGCCATAGCTCTTAACCACCATGCCACATTATTTGCAGCTGAAAGGAGTGTCCTCTAGAAGAATAGTTAAAAATAATAAAAACACTTACATAGTACTTACTATGTACCAGGCACTGATTTTTGGAACTTTGCATTTATTAACTCAGTTACTATTACAAATCAGTGAAGTGAAGTGTATCATGCCCATTTTACAGTTGGAGAATGGAACCACAGAGAAGTTAAGTGAAATGCCAAGGTCACATAGCCCCAGAGTGGCAAAGACAATAGTTGAGGCCAGGCTTTTGCAATGGAGGCTATGCTCCTAACCACTGCAATTTGTCACCTTTTTTGGCAAACATGAAAATATTATACTTTATTGCGTTTCATTTCTGATTATATTCCTCACATCTTATTTTTATTTTGAGTAATTTCTCTCCCTTGAGATTATATGAAGTGACTATGGATGCCTGAATCTCAAACCTTTTTTTGCTAGTGCCTGCGACTCAGGAGCTGACTGACTGAACATCTTTTTGGAATCACACTTTATAGATGAGCTCTGCACCCGTACACAATCATTTCTTATTTCATAATGAGGTTTTTCATTTTCACACAGCAACCTCATAAAAAGACACATGCTTGATGTTAAAAAACATATGCAATTGCTGCAAATAACTTTCTATGTTGGCCTGCGCACAAAAAAGAGAGAGAGAGAAAACTCTGAGCACAAGCCAAGTGCTGGTGAAGAGCAAAGTGATTCTGCATCGGGTGAGGTGTTTGAGTGAATGCCTTCAAGATCCCTGCCAGCTCTAGGAGTCTATGCCATGGACTGACTGCATCCCCTCAAAGTTCCTGTGTTGAAACCCTAATGCCAACGTGATAACATCAGAAGGCTGGGCCTGTGGGATTTGGTCACGAGGGTGGAGTCCTCATGAGTGCAATTAGTGCCTGTCTAAGTCTATTTTGGGCTGCTATAATAGAATATCTGAGATTGGGTCATTTATAAAGAACAGATATTTTATTTCTTCAGTTCACAGGGGTGAGAAGTGCAAGGTCAGTGGCAGGCATCTTGAAAGGGCCTTCTTGCTGCATCATTCTGTGGTGGAAGGCAGAAGGGCAAGAGGAGGCAAGGGTGAGAGATAAACCCGCTTTTTACAGCAAATCCACTCTCTTGGTAACGAACTCACTCCTGAGATAATGACATTAATGCGTTCAAGAAGGCAGAGCCCTATGACCTCATCGCCTCCTATTAGGTCCCATCTCCCAGGGCTGTTGTTGCATTAGGGATTAAGCTTCCAACACATGAACTTTGGGAAACACATTCAAACCATACCAATACCTTTGTAAGGAGAGGCCAGCAAGCCAGCTTGCTCTCTTTCTGCCATGTGGGGATACAGGGAGAAGTCAGCAGTGTGCATCCTGGAAGAACCCTCCCAGAACTCAACCATGCTGGTGCCCTGATCTTAGACTTTCAGCCTTCGCTTCAGCACTGTGATTCATACATTTATATTCTTTATAAGCCACCCAGTTTATGGTACTTTTTTATAGCAGCCCACACAGACTAAGACACCTAGGAACAATACCCTCACAAAAAGGGAGAAGAGTACCTTTGGCTATGAGTGCCATGACTCTCAGTTTTTCTCAGGTCTGCAGCTGCTTTATTTTGCTGTGGATAATCTGATGCTGCACTGTTTAAAAACCAGAGTAGCTTTTCATAATTCACCTGAAAATTAAATGTAAAATAGAACATCCTCATTTAATTTATATGTAAGGAAAGAGGCCTGTTGAGATAAAATGTATTTGGCAAATTTTTACCATCAAACATTTAAAAAAACACTTAAAAATATAGTATCATAATTATTGGTGCTTTTTAGCAAGTATTCTTATTATTTTCCCTTCTGGACAAATGGTAAAATTGTACTTCCTGGTTGTCTTCTGGTTGGGTAAGGCCATGTGACTAGTTCTGGCCAATGAGTTATAACCAGAACCGAGACCCTGTGAGCTAACATGAGACCCTCCAGGACTCTTTTTCCCCTTCTGCTATCCTGTCCAAAAATATCCTAAAGTGGCTATTTCATCATCCTGGGTCCCAGAGCTAAAATGACAACAGTGTTAAGAAGAACTATGGCTGGCTCTATGGAAATAAACATGAAAAAAAATAACTTTTTGTGGCTTTAAGCCACAAAGATTTTGGGGTTATTACTATAGTACAACCTAACCTCTAGCCTCTCTCTCTCTCCCCACCGCTGCCCCCACTCTCTCTCTTGTTCCTTCTCACATATCTTATACATTTATTATATATGATGTATTCAGCAGATATATTTAGATAGATTGAGCAGATATATTCAGATAATCTGAAGACAAAAATTTATTAGGCCAAGTGAAAAATCTGAAGACCTTTTTTCTGCATAGGAAAGGACTGAAGGAATGTCATCCATTTCCACTGCTAAGCTGGATGCCATCCTAGGGACTCTGGTGGACAGACAGCTCCAGGGTAGCAGAGTGGTGAGCAGTGGGAGAGGGAAGCTAGATAGGGCCCCTGATAGAAACTAGGTCTCAGGCCAGAAAATTTGGTTGAACTGAATATTCATATGGGTTGCAGTAATAAATCAATATTGTATTGCTAAATACTTCTCATAAATATATAACTAATTCTATTAGTTTGCATTTATCACATTACTAAATCCTGAGACTAAACTTGCAAGGTTGGTTTTGGCCTGGTTTTCTGGATGAGATCATTGAGGCATGGGAGGACTTAAGTAGAGTATGCTCCATGTCACAGAACTAAGATGGTGGGATTAAGATTAAAGTCCAGGCCTTCTTTTTTAAGGTTTGTGCTGTCTATTGCTTTGCTATTGATACATGCTCACTAATGATATTCTTATTGCTATTATTTCTTCCTATTTCAGGGTATTTTCCTCTGGCTCCCTGAATTTAGTGACACTTGGACTACTCTTTATATTCAGACATAGGTATGAGCTTGGAAAATACAATGCCCAAAGAACTCTGGCCCTGTCATTGGGAAATTTGTGTCTTAGCATGGTGTCTGCCATTAATTCTCTGAGTCTCCTAAACAAGTTATTGGACATCCTCTGGGCCTCATTTCCTTAATCAGTAAATTTCAAAGATACTTCCCACTTCTAACTCTCTAGGAAGTTGTGATGACACAAAGCAGATCTTAGCTCAGTCTCAATTCTTACCTTGGGTCCTGCAGACTAAGCTAGCTCATGAATGGACTTGCGTGGGCCCATTTTCTTGAATCTGTAACTACCCTAACATTGTTAAAAGCTGACAATGCAAGTTGGGGCAGGGAGGACCTTTAAAGAGAAATGAAACAGAGCGAAGAGACCTAACTCTATTTTCTATTCGAACTAGAAATTTCTACACATGAATATAAATAAGCTTTTTATCTCAGTAGTCAGGGATAAAAGTTATTTGCAAGAAAGTAGCTAACTTCTTAGTCTTTTACCCTTGTGGGTACAAGTTAAGGAAACAAAAGGAACCCACACTTCCAATAGTACAATTGCCATACCATTTCAGGAGAACCCCTCTTAGAAAATCTCTGACAAAGGATTTTAACTGTTGGTAACTGTAGAGGGACTTCATGCTTCAAAAAGAGGCGGCTCAGCTGAGATTGGAGAAGAAATCCTGAAGAGATTGGGTCCAGGATCTTCAGCTCTTTCTGAAGCTTTTCTAATAAGTTGGAACTCAAAGGACGTGACTTGAGTTCTCTTCTGACCAGGGCAAGAAGAAAAGCGTCTTCATTTGTTGTCCCACTTGGGCTCTGGCCAATATCCTAACACAACAATGAAAAACAAAGAGCAAGACTCTTCAATCAGCCGGCTAAAGACCAAAGCAAGGAAGCAGAGGCACACTGGGGCTGGTATCTGAGTGTCCACTCGCAGTCCTGGCCTGGAGCAGGACAAGTCTGTGGCACTGAAGGTGAGCATTCAATCTGGTGTATTCATTATTTACAATGCATCAGCTCTCTTCCTTCAGGAGAAGAAAGCAAATCCTAGAGTACATGGTCTGGTAGAAGATGCTTTAACATACATCATTTGCCTTTTACAAAATAACTGCTTTGATGGTATAAGAATTTAGAATAACACATTTTGGAGACCCATTGCAGCTGGGAGTTTAGCATGGGGGATGCAAATCAAGGATGGTGTCTAGACCCTGACTGAGTTAACTGGGAGCATAATGGCCCTTCCTGAGCTCAGCAATCCTAGAAAAGGAGGAAGGTGCGAGGAGCATGAGGAGTTCGGTTGAAATTTTTAAGGTTTGTCTGTGAACTCCTCAGGACACTTTCTGGAAAGCTGACTGGATAAACGAAGTCTGGTGTCCATTTGTCTATTCTCAGACTGTCTTTAATTTTTTTTTTTTTTTTTTGTAGAGATGGGGTCTCACTATGTTGTCCAGGCTGGTCTCAAACTTCTGGCTTCAAGTGATCCTCCCAGCTTGGCTTCTCAAAGTGCTGGCATTACAGGTGTAAGCCACTATGACCAGCCCTCAGACCAACTTATCTTCTGCTCCACATCAAGAAATTGAGTCAACAACACTCCTTCATCTACAATAGACACAACTCAACAACTCTTAGTATACACACCTCAGGTTGGTCAGAGCTGCCTCTCACCATCTGTTCCAAGGACCAGTCTCTAAGCTTTCTCCTGGGAATGCCATGCACATAGGATAAGGACTGGTCTCCGGTTGGTACAGAGCTGCAGTGGACATTTGCTTGACTGGGAATCTTAACAGAACAAGGACAAAGGGAAGCAAGGAGCAGAAGAGGAGGTAGGGAAGAGAAAGAGGAAAGAATGGAGAAAATGAGTAAACCAACCAATTTATTTAAGCACATTCCCAGTTCTAAATGAACTTTAGCCCATGTATCATTGAGTCATTGAATCGTCGTGAAGAAATGTTGCCTTCATACCAATTTCAGCATTATACGCTTGACACATGTTAGATAAATATATTCACACTTAGGTATGTCTCATTTGGGCAAGAAAGTGTGACAGGCAAAAAATAATAGGTAGAGCATAAGGTGTTTATAGGCAAATGTGGGGTTCTTATTAGAGATAAGGGTATCATTAGGCTGTTTTAATTAGCAGGTTCAGGAAGGGCAGCAAAGGTAATTGTTAACTTTGACAAGAGATTAAAAAGCTCAGAATATTATACTCTAGGAGTAATGTCACTAAAAGTTACAATAGCATAAATGATAGAATTAGGATCAATAATAAAACCCTGTTCTCTCTTGCCATGGAGCATGGTATATTAATTGTGTTTTTAAATTATTCATATTTTATGGTATTTTGACATCTTAAGAAGGTAGGCCTTGCTGGCTGGGGGGACTGCCCCTCCCAGGACTAGCTAATTCCTAGAGATGGCAAACAACTGGCCTGCTAATACATCTTTCATATGCAAACCAGTCCTGAGTTCAAACCCCCAGATACCTCCTTTATTTAACTCTCACACAGCAAGCCTTTTTTTCTCCTGCCTTAAATAAATCCAAGACTAGGCTCCAGACAACTAGGGATAGTCACTATGCCCCAAAGCCTGGGGGAATTATTCCAACTAGCTAGTCCTAAGCTGTTTGTTCTGCCCTGCCTTGCCTTTCCCACCTAAACCCCAGAGAAAGGCTGTGGCTTGCGCTTTTCTCTCCTTGCTCCTCCTTCTTCCTTCTTGAGGTCCTCAAGTAGCCCGATGTGGTGTGGAATCCCTGCTTCTCTTGGGAAATGAAAGCAATTAACTCTTTTTTCAAAGGCAATTGTCTCCAAGTATGGTATCTTACCATATCTGATTAAAACAAAAACTTGGCACAAATCAAGACACATGGTTATTTTATTTATTTTATTTATTTATTTATTTTTGAGACGGAGTCTTGTTTTTTTTACCCGGGCTGGAGTGCAGTGGCAAGATCTCGGCTCACTGCAACCTCTGCCTCCCGGGTTCAAGTGATTCTCCTGCCTCAGCCTCTGGACACATCGTTATTTTTAATACCAGGTAATAGAAGGGCGACATGATCAGAAGGATTCTCTATAAACTACTAAATTGACAGTCATGTTGAATAACCTATCAGTATGAATAGCAACCTACAGATGTTTTATAGTCATGAACATTTTAAGGAAAAACCAAGACGCTCTCTAGAGTGAGCAGAGTGGGCAAGAATGACAGAGAGTTCTGAATAGGCATAAAAATCACAAGAGTTATTTATTTGGCTCATACTCTGTACAAGGCACCACATGGGTGTCCTGCTCATGTCATTATTTAAATCCTTACACAACAATACAAGGTAGGTAGTACTAGCAACCTTTTACATTTGGAAAGCCAAGGCTTGCAGAAGTTAAATAACTTTATTCCTTCATTTAAAAAACATTTATGGTTGTCTAGTTTGGGCCAGGCACTGTCATAAGCCCTACAGTGATAAAAACAGACTCAGCCCCTGCTCTCACAGAGTTTGCTGATGGTGGGAGGCATAGCAAGTAACCATGACAATAGAAAAGGGATTCTAAGGGCCACTCTCAGAATTGTCCATGGTCCACCTGATCTGGACTTGGTGGTCCGGGTCTGAAGGGAATGGCATCTAAATCTAGGCTTGCAACATAAGTCAGATTTGGATTTGGATAGGCTAACAAGTGGAGAGGGAGGAGGAGAGGACAAGAGGATTACAGGAAGAGTGAACTGGATATAGAAAACCTCAAAGGTGCATGCATGCATGTAAGAGACAGATGATGCTTTCAGAGCATAGTTTAACTTTTGGAAAAGGCAAAAGATAAGCCTGGAGAGAGAGAGGCAGGAGAAAGGCAATGAATTACCTTTAGCCTTGTTAGCATCTACGCTTTATTCTGAGGGCAGTGGGAGCCATAAAAATGTTATTAGTAGAGCAATGACTAGAGCAGACTTGTCCAAAACACTCCCTAGTAAATTGTGCAGATATTTGAATCCTGCTTTTCCCAATTACACTAGGATGAGGGAGATTCACTGTTCAGTCCACAGAGCAATTTCACTCTTTTTTTTTTGAGACCGAGTCTCACTCTGTTGCCAGGCTGGAGTACAGTGGCGCGATCTCGGCTCACTGCAACTTCCGCCTTCTGGGTTCAAGAGATTTTCCTGCTTCTGCCTCCAGAGTAGCCGGAACTACAGGCGGATGCCACCATGCCCAGCTAAATTTTTTTTTGTATTTTTAGTAGAGATGGGATTTCACCACGTTGGCCAGGATGGTCTCGATCTCTTGACCTCTGATCCTCCCGCCTTGGCCTCCCAAAGTGCTGGGATTATAGGCCTGGCCAATTTCACTCTTTAAAATATTTGGCTAGGTATTTCAGACATATTGTTCACAGGACAATATGTTTCTTTGCAAATTATTTGCAATATAAAATATTTCCATTTTCAGCCACACACAATTTTTTTTTTTGCCTCTGAGAATTTATGTGTTTCTATGATAGTGTTTTAAAGAAATGTTATCAATACTTTATCATTCCATGAGTCAAGGTATCTTTCAGTTGCTTTTGTTTTCATTTAAACATGAAAATGTATTAAGTGCCTTTATCCTTGACACTACAGATACAAATGAACAAGGCAGGTGTGACTCCTGTCCTCATAGTTCTTTGGGCCTAGACATCACAGGCTGAGTCTTTTTGTTTGTTTGTTTTCTGTTTGTTTGTTTGAGACGGAGTCTCGCTCTGTTGTCCAGGCTGGAGTGCAGTGGCGTGATCTCGGCTCACTGCAAGCTCTGCCTCCCAGATTCACACCATTCTCTTGCCTCAGCCTCCCGAGTAGCTGGGACTACAGGCGCCCGCCACCATGCCCGGCTAATTTTTTTGTATTTTTAGTAGAGACGGGGTTTCACCGTGTTAGCCAGGATGGTCTCGAACTCCTGACCTCGTGATCTGCCCGCCTCGGCCTCCCAAAGCGCTGGGATTACAGGCGTGAGCCACCACGCCCAGCCACAGACTAAGTTTTCTGGCTTCAACTATGGAAAGAGGAAAATACACTGTACTCCCTGGAATGCTGTGAAGAATGAGTGTTATGTATTTTAAATATTTTATACATTCTAAAACCTTATGATATATTTATTTGTTGTATTTTGTGTATCTCCCTCCAATAATATGATCTCCATGTGGGCCAGGACTCTGTCTTGTGCCTGGCTGACACCCCCCCACATCAAGAAGAGCCCTGAATCTGCTGACAAACTAGAGCAACAGCATGGGAGAATGGGGAGGAGCTCTTGGTGCCTGGGTTCAGGCCAGCTGCAGGCTGGGCTTCAGATTTCTCCCTTGCTGATTTAAGTCACCTGGGGCTGTCATTTTTCCAAAGTGAAGAGTGTTCCCCACGTGTCAAAAAAGATAAAATGAGAAATTTTATCAAGATTCCCCAGGTTTCTGACCTTGGGATTTGTCAGAGCACCTATGAAGTCTCTAATACCATAGGTTTCTCTCATTTAGTTTACTTTGAATAACAAAATACCGCTTGGGGACCAACACCATAGCCTGAAGTGACTTCAATCAATCCTAGTTGTGTGATGTTTGCCTAAAAGAACTGGTACAAATGAAGCACAAAAATCTAACACAGATTTACTGACTCTTCTGGGGGTGTTGGAACTTGCAAGAGTTGGAAATGTAAACAAGTCTTTTAAAGGTTGCTTATAAATAAAACTATTTTTGAGTGTGTGTAGAGTCATCCACACTCTCTTTCAAGACAAGTGAACACAACAAATCATCTTAACATTATGCAATGGATAGCTGTGGTTTGGGAGAAAATTTCCAGAGATAGCATTAAATGCAGATGTGAAAAGTTCTGTTTCTTAAACAATTTAGACCAAGGTACTGGGGTGTTCTAGAAAGCTGTTAAATGGCTCAAAAATGGGCAGTAGTGATAATGAGGACAGCCATGAGAAACATTAAGTAAAAAGTTGTATACTTTTTTTTTAAGAAATGTAGACTTAGAAAAAAATGTATTTCCAAATTAATATTATATGTAATATGTGATTTTAAATGTGCTTTAAACAAATTAATACAATACATATTGATATTAATCATTTGACTATTTTACTCATATTTGCAACAATGTATACTTTGTTTACATTTTAAAACTTTTAATTTTGGAAACTTCAAAAACAGGCACATGTGGAGATAATAGCATGATGAAACTCCCTGTGCTCATCACCAGGCTTCAGTGATCAACTGACAATCTTATTTTATTTATCCCCACATTACCCTCCACCAGAGATGAAGTGAGCCCAGACAGTGTGTTATTTCATCCACATTATTTCAGCATATGTCTGTAAAGCAGTGGTTCTTAAAGTGTAGTCTTTGGGCCAGAAGCCTCAGCTTCCTCTGGGAGTCTGTGAGAAATGAGAATTATTGAGACCCACGCCAGACCCACTAAATAGAAATTTGTGGGATGGGGCCCAGGAATCTGTGTTTGAATAAGTCCTCCAGTAATTCTGACGCACGCTGAAGTTTGAGAACCACTGCCCCAAGAATGAGGACTCTTTTTAAATACACAATAACATTATAACACTTAAAAATTCCTTATTATTAACAGTAATTCCTCGATATCTTCAAATGTCTCATCAGTGTTTAAAATCCCCCTGTTGTCTGGTAAATCTTATTTTCATAGTTTGTATATTCAAAATATGAACCATATATTGCAATAGGTTAATATCTCTTACACCTTTTAAAATTCCTTCCTTCCTTCCTTCCTGCTTTTCTCTCTTTTTTCCTCCTTTCCTCTTTTCCTTACATCTTTTAAAATTCCTTCCTTCCTTCTTTCCTTCCTCTCCTTGCTTCTTTCCTTCCTTCCTTCCTTCTTTCCTTCTCCTTCCCCTTCTCCTCCTCCTCCTCCCCCTCCCCTTCCTTCCTTCCTTCCCTTCCTTTCTTTCTTTCTCTTTCTCTCCTTCTTTCTTTCTCTCTCTCTCTCCCTCCCTCCCCTACCCTCCCTCCCTCTCTCCCTCCTTCCTTCCTTTCTTCCTTTCCTTTCATTCTTTCTCTTTTTCTTTCTTTCTTTCTCTCTCCCTCCCTTCCTCCCCTCCCTCCCTTCCTCCTTCCTTCCTTCTTCTTCTTTTTTTTTTTTTTTTAATTTTTTCTGTTACCCAGGCTAGCGTGCAGAGTAGCACAGCCATTATTCACCACAGCCTGGCCTGAACTCCTAGACTCAAGCAATCCCCTGTCTCAGCCTCCCAAGTAGTTAGGACTAGAGGTGCACACCACCACACCCAGCTAACTTTTTGTTTTTTGTAGAGATAGGTTCTTGCTAGGTTACCCAGAGTGGCCTTGAACTCCTGACCTAAAGCAATCCTCCTACCTTGACCCCCTCAAAGTGTTGGGACTACAGGCATGAGCCACTGCATCCAGGCTTACATATTTTTAAAATGTCTAGTCTTCCCACTCTGCCCCTTTCATCATTATTTTTTCTTGCAATTGTTGAAGAAGCTGTGTTGTCTGAACTGTAGAGTTTTACACAGTCTGCATTTTCTGGCACCCCTATGCTGTTTTTAAAAAGTATCATTTATTTCTTGTAAAATAGTAGTTAAATCTAAAGTCTTATTCATGTTCAAGATCAATTTTATTTGAGAAGACACTTTTGTAGGTGGTATATTTTCCTATGGAAGCAAATGCTATCTAATTGCCTTTTTTTGGATCATAATTACAGGCAGTCATATGCATTGCTTAATTCCTTTCGTTTTCATTAGGGCTTTGCAAAATGGTGAAATTCTTATCCCACCATTCTTCATTTATTAACAGAAATAGTTCTTTAAAGGGAAACGTCCCTTCATCAACTATTACTTCAGATACAGTTTGCATAGAAAATGGCCAAATGAATAAATGCTTGGTTGTTTTATTTACTGTTTTTTTTCAAATAAATAGTTTGTTCCCTAGCATTCTTCAGAGATAACCAATGAGTTTTTGTTTTTTAAAATAATCATTATGAATATATACATTTAAACATATTTAATGTGTTTCAATCTATTGCAATTATTATTTTTATTGATGCCCAAATTATGTCGCTTTCAACTGTGGGAAACTCTTTAAGTTAGATCCTGAGTCTTTTTTGACCAGTCTTAGGAAGGCTTTGTATCTTCATTGCTTTCGTTATAAGTGGATATTCCAGGCTCAAAGGTGGAATCAGCTCTTGGAATTTTCCTGAACATAATGCAGATGCAAGGCTACTCATTGCTTCGGGCCTAGTCATTGTTTCTAAATTTTTCCAATGGACAGAACTGGGAAATACATTTTTAAAAAGAGTTCATACTGATTTTTCATTTCAAATGTAGGACCATAGGGGTTTTATGTAATTTTATTAATACTCTACCTATATTTTATTTCTTCTATACCCCAAATAGCAAGTCCAAAAAAAAAAAAGAGAAAACCATCAGGATAGTGACTCACTTGCTTTATCACATAAAATATACACACAGAGAATAACAGTATCAACATAATGGTCATTAAAAACATTTAAATATTTTTTTCAAGAAATATTTTCTTTACAGTAAATATTCCACTAGGGATATGCAATGAAGTCACTGTGTTTTAAAATCATTTACAATTGTTTCATTCTGTTTAATTTTACTGCCAATTAATATATAGTTAGGTTCATGTGGTCACTCATTTTCAAGGTGGCCCCAGTGATCCCTGCTTCCTGGTTTCATGGCCTTATGTAGTCTCCTTCATCCCCTCAACATTTAATTAAGATTGGTCTATGTGACCAGTGGAATACTGTGGAAGTGATGGTACGTCACTTCTGAGATTAGGTTATAAAAGATATTGCAGCTTCCAATTTGATTGTGTACAATCAATCTCTCTCGGATCACTCATTTTGTGAGAAGCCAGCCATGTCATGCACACCCCTAGAGAGAAGCCCAAATGAGGAAAACTGAGACCTGTGGACACAGCCAGGAGGCCTCTGTCAATAGCCACATGAGTGAGCTTGGAAGTAGATCCTCTAGTTCTGATCAAGCTTTCAGATAACTGCATCTCTGGGTGAAATCTGGGGTGAAATTTTGCAAGACTTTGAACCAAAATCTCTCATCTAAGCCACTCCTAGATTCCTTTCCCTGAGAAACAGTAGCAGGTAATACATGTTTATTGATTTGAGTGACTAAGTTTTAGGGCAATTTGTTGTATACCAAAAGATAAGAAAACCAGATTTATTTTATTTTGTTTTTGATTTTTACAAATTGATTTTCTTAACATATAATTTTACTTTATAATTCTGTAGTGTAAAACATTTGCGTGGTTGCAAAGCCAAACCTACAAAACAAGACATTCAGAGAAGTATGGTTTCTATTTTTTATCCATTCATCATGTTCCATCTATCCCCAAGACATAACCACTTTTTAATAATGTTCTTAATTAATTCCTTCATTTTAAAAAACATAAGGGATATGTACATAATAGATATATATATAGATAGATACCTGGTAGAATAATCTATATATATTTTTCTACCTCACTTTTATTCAATTAATAATGTATCTTGTTATATTACTCCACATAATAATATATAATAATACTCATATATACACAAATTCTACATTTCTTTTTACAATTTCATAGTACTCCATGTATGGATGTACCTTAGTTTATTCAAACAGTTCATTGTCTATGGAAATTTAGGTTGTTTATAATTTTTTGGTGTAACAGGTAATGTTGGAATGTATATCTTCTGCATAAATCTTTTAATATTATATTTTTCAAGTACATCTTTGGGATAGATTTCTCAAAGTGAGATTTTCTTATAAAAAAATGTAGATGTAGTTCTGCTAATTACTGTCAATTTTTCTTCCAAAGCAGTTTTTCCATTTAAATTTTTTTCTATCATTGTAGCAGTGTATCTGTTTCCCCATAGCCTTCCAACAAAGTATATTATCAATATTATGGATTTTGCCAAATTATGTTATCAATTTCCTGGATTTTGCTAATGAGAAATTATATCTCAGGGCAGAATTAATTTACATTCTACTTATTAAAAGCAAGTCCACATCTTTTGATATATTTAAGGAACATTTACATTTGTTTTTCTGTGAACTGCCTGTTCATGTATTTTGCCCATTTTTCTAATAGTATAACCCTTTTTCTTCTCTATTTTAAGTAGAATATTCTATAGATGAGAGATATATTTGTCAGTGATGCAAGTTGCAGATTTTCCTCCTACTTTGTCAGGTGTTTATATGCTTTGCTTACAGGTGTCTGGCCCTTATGGTGAAAATAATCACTCCTTCAGTGAAAAGTATCATTTTCCTCATTGTATCTGCATTTTGAGTCACAGTTAAGAAAGTTTCCCCTTATCCCAGATGATAGAAGAAATCACTCATGTTTACTTGTACTATTTGTATATGTTTATTTCTTTACACTTAAACCTTTGATGTATTTGGAATATATCCTAATGTACATCTTACGTATGTATGGTATATGAGGAATAGACCCAACTTAAAACTTCTCTATAGCTATCCAATAATGTGTCACTGATTAAAATGTCCATCTGTTTCTTATTAATTTTCAATGTCACCTTTATCATATACAAAATAACAATATGCCAGTGGGTTTATTTCTGAATTTTTCTTTTCAATTTCATTGGTCTTTCATGTATTCATGTGCCAAAACCACACTATTTTAAATATAGAGACTTTTTGTTTTAATATCTGGTAATGGTATCTTACCCATTATTCATAGTGCTGCTCTCCTTTTCAGGGTTTTCTTGACTATTCATGCTTGTTTGTTATTCCAAATTAACTTGCTAATCAATTTGGCTAGTTGTAAAACAAAACAAAATAAAAACCGAACACTATTTTTTTGTTGGAATCCCAACAAATTTATAAATTACCCTAGGGAGGATTGACGTTTTGATGATGTTAACATTTTATGTACAAGAAAACAGCATGCCTTTCCATTTGTTCAAATCTACCCTTGTATCTTTCTGGAGTGCTTTATATTTTGTTCTCATACAGGTTTGGACATTTCTTGTTAAGTTTATGTCTTGGCATTTGATTTATTTATTTAGTTAATTTACTTCTACATTTATTTGCTATAGTAAATGGTGCCTTTTCCTCCATTTTATCTTCTAACTCATTTTTGTTGACATATATGAAGGCCATTGATTTGTGTTATTGATTTTATAACTATCTAGTTTGCCAAATTCTCTTGATTGTTGGTAGTTTTTTCATTAACTGTCTTGAGATTTTAGATGTACAATCTTATACTCTGAAAATAGTTTTACCTCTTCTTTTCTAAGTAATATGCCTGTACTTTCTTTCTCTTATGTAATTGCATTGGCAAATATCTCCAGGATAACATTAAAAGCCAGCGGAGACAGTGGGCACTCTTAACTTCTTCCAAACTGAAATGAGAAAGTTTCTAGTGTTTTCCCATTAAATTAGATGTTGGCTTTGAGCCAATATACAGAGAAAGACATTTGGAAATGAAAATGAACAAGCAACAATTCTTATTCTCAGTGGTCTTATAGACTTGTGGAAGGAGACAGATAAGGAAACAGTTTATTTTAATAGTATGGCAACATCTACTGTAGAAGTGTGCACAGATTCACTTGGAAATACATTAGGAAAGGCGTTTACCTCAGTCTTGGAAATCAGACGATAATGCTTCTTGATAGAGCTGCTATCTAAGTTGGGACACTTATATGGTTAGAAGTTAATCAAATAAAGATGGAGGGAAGAGAATTTTACCCATAAAGAATAGCATGGGCAAAGGATTTGAGGTGAAAGGGAACAGAACTCTATTTATGGAAAAGAATTTCAGTTTAGTGAGATGTGGGGATGAAAGTGAAATAGAGAATAGACAGAGTTGAGCTAGAATGCTAAGTCAAGGAGTTTAAATTTTATACCAGGGAATTGGGATTTAACAAGGGAATTTAAGTGTTTTAAGCAGAGGCTATATCTGATCAAGTGGTTCCTCCTAAAAGAGATAGCATATATATCCCTGCCCCATTCATGTTGTGCTTGGCCATGTGGTTTGCTTTGGCTAATGGGATGTTAGTGGATATGACACAAGCAAAAAGCAAAGACTTAAAATGCACTTGTGTAATTGAGTTTGTTCTCTTAAAATGTTTCCATCAGTATGAGAAGGACATGCCTTGAAGAGCTCGCTGGATTCAGAACAAGAAAACACAGAGCAGACCTGAATCAAATCCACTTTAGAGCCAAGCCCAGCCCAACCCAATTGAGATAAATAAAAGCTGCCTAAGCTCATATCTGTAGATGTGAGCATAAATGATTATTGTTATAAACCACTGAGTTGTGGGGTGATTTGTTACGCAGCAGTATTTATCACAATAGCTGACCAATACAGAGAGAGAGCTTTAAAGTCAGAAAAGTCAGTTTGAAGATGATTAAAATCTCCCTGGTGAGACAAAATGGTGGTCTGATTAAGGTGATGACAAGGAAAATAAAAGAAAGATAAGGTTTTGAGAGACACGAAGGAGGTAGAATTTAACGGAATCTGTGATTGGTTGGATGTCAGGGTTAGGGAGAGACAGGAGGAAAGTATGTTCAGGTTTCTTGCTGGTGCAATTGAGAGAGGGGTGAGACCATTCTGTGAGACACAGACCACCAGAAGTACAAGATCAAAGGCTCTGCCTTGAACTTTCTAAATCTGAGCTGCAAATGCACAGCCAAGTAGAAATGTCCTTGACATCTGTCTATTCATCTATAAAATAAAGATAACATCATGTGCCTTTACCTACCTTGCAAGGCTATTGTGGAGAAGGAACAAGGGAAAACACACAAAAGGGCTTTGAAAAGAAACCTTCCCAATAAACTGTGATAATTATTAAAATTAAAGCACTAACACTTTCATTTTCATGCTGCCAGATGCAAAAAGCACACTACAATTTTATTTTTGAAACTGTGCTACTGAGTTTGTTGCTAGTCACACATTCTTTTTTATTCTTCTGAGAGAAGGCAGAGCTGATAATTCTGAGAAATGATATAAACAATATGTATTTTTTCAAAAACATACGCATATAAAGCAGAATTTGGAGGCAAAAAGATCCTAGGACTAGGAGTCAGAAGAGCCAAGCTCTTTTCCTGTGAGACCTTGGAGCATTTAAGCTCTCTGGTCCTCTCATTCTTCCTTTGTGAAAGGAAGGTTTGTACTTGTTTATTTGTAAGATATCTCACTGTTCTTATATACACAAAATGAGGGATTCTCTTAACATCTTCAGTTTTACTTACTTCCTACCAATGAGACTCTTCGAACTTACTCTGTGATTTGGAAAAGAGTTTCACACTTGCTCGTCCTCAAGCATGTTAGCTCAGTCTTTATCAGCAACTTCTCTTTTGGAGCAAATTCAGCTGGTCCAGATTGCCTGTTACGTCCCAGGCAGGAAAGCTTATTTTCATCTATGTGTGAGTGATAAGGATCTAGAAAGAGTTCTGATTGGTGTGCTTTTGTAACTGCGGCAGGATTCCATTTACCACTTAGTCAAGCTGGTAATGAGGGTCTCTGTACCAGGCAACTGTGGCTGCCATCTGGCGGGCCAGCACCACACGCCCGCCCGGCAGACAGAACCAATTAGTCGGTCCCCACACCTCCCACAAGGCCTTCCTTGTTTGGTGGCAGAGTGTTAGCCCCCGCTGAGCCTCCCACTAGAAACCCTGTTGAGTTCTGGGAGGGGAGGGGCAAATTTTCTCCCTGTACTGCCGAGCTAGCAAATAATCCAGATCATGGAGGTTAAGAACAGCTTACCTAATGAACATGCTACCTATGGTAATGGCGAATGCAGAGTCCATGACAGGAATGAGCAGTTTGATGTATTAGGAGGAGTGTCAAGAAACAGATGTCTATATATAAGAGAAAAACTAGAAATGGCTTAAGTGCCCATAAGGCGTTTGTTAAGTGAACTGTGTTATATCTCTATAAAGGAATGTATACAGTTTGGTGACTAAGGACCTAGAACCTGGGCTTGAATTGTGGGTCTGCCACTTCTCAGCTCTATGACTTTAGCAAGGCCCTTGACCTCTCTGTTTCTCAGCTCCCTTAAACATGAACTAAAGATAATAGGAGTTCCTACCTCGCCGGGTGCTTGGGAATAGTAAATTAGTTAATATCTGTAAAGAGCTCAGAATACTGCCTGGCACATAGTAAATGCTATCCATCTAAGTGTTAGTTCTGAGTACAACTCTCACAGAACCATTAAAGATGATGCGTAGGATGATTTTTTTCATGCCAAGGGGAGAATTTTTGATATGATATGAAGTGAATCAAGCAGGATAATAAAGAGTATATATAATGATTCTTATTCTATATCTATGTATGAAGGAAAAAAGAGGAAGAAAGGAAAAGAAAACCACTAGTTTTCTTTAGTTGATATTTTTCTTCTTATTTATATTCTCCTGTTTTTCAAAAATTGCTACATCGTTATGCTATTTTTATAATTAGAAAGCTCAATAAAAATTTAAGTAAAGAAAAAAAAGAAAACCTAGACAAACATCTTATCTACACACTTATGAGTCACTTTATCCTTTCTGAGTGTTAGTTTTATCATCTATGCCATGGTGGTAGAAATAACAATGGTATCTACCTCACAGGGTTAATTTCAAAGAGTAAATAATAAAATTTACCTCGAAGCAATCAGTCAATAATAACGTCTTTTATAACCATAATATTATTACCAAGGCCATTCTTTGGGAGCAAAAACAACAAATATATTAATGCCAGAATCTAAATTAGGTTAAAACATTCAGATAAAAATTCACATTTGATCATTCAAATGGATTATATCACCTCTGCAGATTCACTATCTTTTGCTGTAACCAAGGCCTAAATTCAAGGATTCAGCCAAACTGGAGACTAAGAGGCTTGAGTGACAGCTCAATCTGTGTCACTCATGTTTTGGGAAAGTCACTTTCATTTCTGGTCTTCAGTGTTCAACTAGACCTTGCAGAGTATAGCCTGAGGTCCATAGATAGGCTGTTAACCACTCCAAAATTTGATCCTTTGCATGGTTCTTATGAGCAGAAGATCACAAATCCATAGGCATTCATTTTCTCATATGACTAAAGACTAGCTAGCAGCTCAGTGATTTAGAAAGGGCTATTAAAATTACAAACTAAAAATAGTTATGTTAGAGTGTACTGCAGAATCTAATTCAGTATTTTACTAAAATATCTGGCTGTCACTTAATGCTTGGCAGCATTGCAAAACTCCTACTCTATGTATCTGTTTAATTGCAATTTCAGCAATTTTGGAAATGGTACTTTGTTATCAATGAATCATTAGTTTTGTCTTGATTTAGATCCAGTTTTCAATTGCTGCTTTACTTGCTTTTTAATTACAAACTACTAATCATATAGATTCATCATCATCAAGTTAGTTTGTTATGAATTGTTTGGTTGATTGTTAACAGAGTGCAGTGGTATATATTTCTATCAACAGAGTTTGGGGCCTATAATTTTTTTTTGTAATTAGACATGGTTGCATTGTATTTTTAAAATAAATTATTTCTTTTTGTAATGTAAAAGCAGACAGACTCTTACCCTCCAACACGCCCCAACTTTGCATGTATAGTAACAACACTGAGTATCACTGAGCTAACCACAGGCAGAATAGGTTGACCAACTCCATTGGTTGTCATGACCAACTTCTTTGGTGATCATGACCAACTCCGTTGGTGGTCAGCAAAGATACAATATACAAAATGACCCTGAAGTTCATTTTCAGATTGAAAAAAATTGATTCTTACTTCTATCTCATGCAAAATATATTAATGAACATTTGTACAGTGTGTTTTTGTGTGAACCTATGTTTTTATCTATATTTTCCTAATAAATTATCAAGATAAACGTGGGTATTTTTTGTCACTCACATTGCCATCCAGGAATCTGCTACTGTTTGCCCCTGTTAGTAGTTTCTGGTTGTTTTCTGATTTCTGGTTGTTCTCTGGGTGCTTTTTCTCTTTCACATCATCTGGATTATCAGTGGTTTGCTGATCAGTGAAGTTAATGGGAACTGGGGTGTCTCTGCTCATCTGCCTTGCATTATCAGTCATTGGTTTCTGGTGCATTGTTTGGGTTTCTGTTTTCAAGCTGTCATTCTCCTTGCTGTGAAGAAAGAATTGTATACTTTGTTACTTACAGGCAGACTCCTCATACACTAGGCTGGCATAAGAACAGAAGGTGTGTTTGGTGTTGTGAACAGTAGAAACTCAGCACAGTGGAATGTGGAAGCATAAACATTGGTTATTTGTCTATGCATCATTGACCATAGAGAGAACATGTTATTAATATTATCTTTGCAGGCTTTATCTTTTTCCTTACCCTCTTCCTCATACTCATAATCTATCCATCTGCTCCCAAACCCTTACTGTAAGCAATGGCCAGTATGAAAAATGAACCCTAAAGGTTATCACATTTCTTACTTGTAAATGTAACAGGTATTTTCAGCCTTAGAAAAGAAAGTCAAAACAGTTTGTCAGCTCCAGTTCTGCTCTATGCCTCTCCCCTTGAGACTTCCTTTTCTCCTGGGAGCCTTTCATTTAAGTTTAATATTAGAGAAAAGAAAAAAAAAACTGTAGGATGATTCAAGGAAATTCAAATAACAAACAAAATTAAAGGTTCAACTTTGTTTAACAACTAAAAGTCCTCACACCTGTAATCCCAGCACTTTGGGAGGCTGAGGCGGGTGGATCATGAGGTCAGGAGTTTGAGACCAACCTGGCCAATACGGTGAAACCCCGTCTCTACTAAAAATACAAAAATCAGCCGGGCGTGGTGGCACACACCTGTAGTCCCAGCTACTTGGGAGGCTGAGGCAGAAGAATCGCTTGAACCCAGGAGGTGGAGGTTGCAGTGAGCCGAGATCGCACCACTAGACTCCAGCCTGGGTGACACGTCTCTAAAAAAATAAAAAATAAAAAAATAATGGAAAGTCTTACAAATCAAAACAGTAACAAGGTACCATTTTAAACATAGAAGACAGATATAATTCTTACAGTGGGTGACCTGACAAAACATTAGGAGTCAAGAAGCTGAAACTCTGACATTGTAGAACAATGTTAAAGCATGTGTATTAAGGAGAAAAATGCAAAAAAAAAGAAAACTCTAAATATTTAGTAATAGGTGGATGCATTGACTATTTCATTCTTTGCTTGTGATAAAGGGTATGAAGTCATTAAAATAGTTATGAATAATTTAATGATACAAGTAAATGTCCACTTATAAAAGTAAGTGAATATATGATTGTCTCAACTGTGTAAAAGGCATGTATATAACGTGTGTGCCTATTCCATGTAGCAAACAATGTGCCAGAAGTTAACAGTATCTCCGGGTGGTAGAACTTAGCGTATTACATTACACTCTATTACACTATATCATGTCAGATTATACTTCATAGTATTATTGTTCTAAATTTTCTACATAGGAAAATACTATTCTATAATCTGAAAAAATAAGTTTCAAAGTAGCTATGCCTTGTACCTACATGGCATTCTATAAATTCTAGCTGTTATTTATAGATACAGTGGAAAAGATCCATTTACAAGCATATCATGTTATCTAAATATAACATCCATTGATTTAAATAATACTTGTTGAACTCCAATACTTGTTGATTTGAATAAGACCAAACCATGGGCAATAATTTGAATATATGTATATTTTTATAGTCATCCTTTTGGTGGTGGTAGCACAAGAAGAAAAGAAGGCCTAGGAAAAAACTCTGATGGATACTACATTTAAAGAGGAAAGATGAGCCTTAAAAAGAGCTTTAAAAAAATTCCCGGTAAAGTAGAAGGGAAATCAGGAGACTAGAAGGAAGACTTCGTAGAAAAGCAAGAGGATGTCTCCAGAGAGAGGACAACAGTATTAAATGCTGCTGAGAAAGGAAATTTCTGAAAAGGGTCCATTGGGTTAGCCATGAAGATGTAGTCAGGAATCTTGGTATAGGGAGTTGCAATGAGGTAATGTAGGTGGATGCTAGACTGAAGTGGATTGAAGAAAGAAGGGGGACAAGCAATGTAGACAGGAAGTATAAAGACCTGTCTGAAGAAGTTTGGCTGCAAGAAGGGAGAAAGATGGGGTGATGATTGATGTGGAATATAGGGTTTCAGATAAGACTTTGTTATCATGTTCAAAGATGTTAGGGAGTTTAGCCTGTTGAAATGCCAATGGTGAATAGCCAGTTGAACTGCAGAAAAGGAGAGGATATCATTGATGATATAAGATGAACCTTGACAAAGGGAAATGGAAGTCATTGAGAGGACAGACACAGAAGGGAAACCTCAGGGTTAAGGTTGTAGAAAAATAGGTAAGGATGTAGGCAAATTAGTACATTTGATGACAAGATGTTGATCAAATTGCTGACAGCTTGAATTTTCTCTGATAACAAGGTATGGTTACCTTGGGTCTCATCGGGGAAATGATGGGGTAGAAAGTCTGAATTAAGGGCAGATGGTTTGGGACAGCTGCTATGAAGAGTGGAAGAGGGGTGATCAGAAAAATAAGACAGGTTGGCTGGGCCAACTGAGTGGCCAGTTAAGGTTAAAGACCATTGATTTTTGTGAAATCAATTTGAGAGCGTGAATGGCACTTCACCCAGTAGTCCTCACAGACATGCAGAGAAGGCAGACAGTGAGGCTCACACAGAACTGGGGCTTTGCCAGACAAACACACTCAAATGATAATAGTGCAAGACAGGAGTATGAGAAGGAGAGTGTATATTTGACAAATAGTTTTTTGCAATGAGAGAAGACATATATGTTCCCTGCCTTCAAGAAATTTAAATTTCATTTGGTTGTCCAAAAATAATGCAAACAATAAAGCTAACAACTGGTAAAACTATATTGTAGAAATCAGGGTAGTGATTACCTTTGAGGGGAGATGTATAGCCCAGAAGAAAGCATAACGGGGTTTCTGGGATGCTGGTACTATTTTGTTTCTTGATCTGGGTGTTTATTGCATGAGTATATCACATTTGTGAGAATTCAGTGAGTGGTAGACTTATGATGTATACTTTTATGTAAATATAGGTATGTTGTATCTCTATAAAGTATTAAATTGGTATAAAATTTACATAAGTTATATGAAACATACCCAGTTAGCATATAAATAAATGCCAAATGAACATTACAAAGATTCAGTACTATTTGAAGTTCATAAGAAACAGAAATAACTATGGTTTGCAATGTTTACATAAATAATATTATTGCTGAACATTTAACATGACAGCCACGCTATACTTATTTATATACATTAGATTATATATTTCTTAAATCAACCGTATAGTCAGGTGTTCCTATTATTATTATTTTAGAATGAAGAAATTAAGGCCAGGAAAGTTGATGTGATTGGCCTAACTCTATTTACATGGCTTTTCAGTAGTGGAGCCAGGATTTAAACCTGTCTACTTCATTGCACAGACTCAGATCCTATTGGCAGTAGAGTCAGAGGAAGGTCCATGGAAGTTTGGGATTATGTGAGGAGCTGAAAGTACAGGAGCAGGTAACCAAAGTAGGAAGTGCAGGATTTGAAGGCAAAAATGGTCTTTTGGCAGGGAGTTAACTCTTTTGGATAAAGGCAGGGACAATGGATTATCTTTGCTTTAATCACCTTTGAAATCCTTTTGTGGGCAGTGTCAGGACAGAATTGCTTGAGAAATGTAAAATGTATCTGCCTGTCTTTTAAAACAGTCCCTGTAGATGTAAAACCAAAAATAACCTGTTAAATCTGTTTCAAGTAAAAGCTGTATTTAAAAAAAAATACATAGCGCTTTGAAAATTATCAAGAAAATGACTCTCTAGCTGAGAAACGGCATGTGTCTGTGGTTAGCACAAACAATTTGTCAACACGCATTGGTTGTTATGTTGTTCACAAACTCACAGTTCTTCCTCCTAGGCTTGTGTACCATCTACCTACATTACTGAAAATAGACATTTGCCATTTCAAAAGAAGGGGGGAAAAACGCCATCAATACTATCTTGGAAGCAAGACACAGCTAGCTTCCGCATATGTACTTCTGACCTCAGCTGCTGCTCTGGGGGTGCCGTGAAGAGTTTAGTGTCATCCAGGAATGAGAGCAATTAGAGAGGATTACTGTGTTCCTGGATGATAAATAAATGAGGAGAAAACTGTCCAGTCGTTCCCTCTCTCACCGGGCTCTTTCTGCAAACCAGCCCATTAGAGTCACCCTCCATTAGAGCACAGAGTCTCAGGGTTAGAAAGAAACATTGCAAAGGCGTCTAGTAGCATCCTCTGCCCAAAGCAAGGTAGGGATCCCCCGCTGGCCCCACCTCCCATGTAACTCCAACTCACCAGATCTCACATTTGATTTGGATTACACCCCTGCCGAGAACATAAAATCTCAAATGAAGGACCCAGGGGGCTCAGCAAAAGGTCACCAGATGCCATCTTAAAGGTCTGCCAGCCTTGGCAGCGACTCAATGCCACCAATTTCCAACTGTGCGCCATCTAACAGGCCCTAAACCCTCTGGAGAAGACAGCCTAGAGTGTGCCAACACAGTGAATGGGGATCTAATTTCAGTAAATGAAAGCATGTTCTTATTTGTAAGTAATAAGAGATAATCAAGACAACCAGACTTTTCTCTTTTTAAAAAGACAATAAAAAATAAAATCGGAAATGGGAGGGGAGTACAGCTGAAAAAGCTCACCAAACTCCACAGGGAAGCTGAAATGTGAAGCCTGTGCTAATGTAGCTAATGCTATTGTGTCAAAGTATGAAGGTTTTTTGTTTCTTTTTCTTTTTTTTTTTTTATGTCATGGAACCATACCATGTACTATTATCATAGAAATTTAGTCTTCGAAAAGATCAAAAAAATATGTTCATTCAACTCCTGAACCTATACTTGAATCATTTCTTTATCAATGTAATTATTTTAGCTAATATGTTCTATCTAAATGCTTATGTGTGTCAGCCACCACACATAAATTCTTTCATGTTGTGTGACTTTGGGAATATCTGATTTTCAGGTTCTCAGCTGTGAGATGAGAAAAAATAATCCTTATCAAGATAAAATGTATAAAATATTGAGCACCAAGCCTGGTGTTCCTCCACCAGACCTCGACAAATAGTAATTTTATGTTAATCATAACTTAAAGTGCTAGCTCCTTTATACACACACTCCTCATCACTCAGGTACAAAGGGATGCTTCTTTCTCTGGAATCCCAAAACTTCCTTTATTGACAGACAAAACTAAAGTTCAAAAAGTAAAGGTTTTGTAGTAGATAGGAACTCAAGAAAATCTATTTAAATAGATAAAAAGAGAGATAATTAATGCAATCTATCTGGCCACCTTGTTATTTACCAATCACAGTAAATACAAATTTTAGAAATCACCCCCCCTTTAAAAAACAAAGATTAATTAGTATTAAAAATCTATTCTGATAAAGCAATCACATTCCTTAATTGTGATTAAAAAAAAACAACCCAAACATTGTTGCATCACGATGTCCTCAGGTGGATTACACCCAAGAGCTTTACAGACAGTGCAGCTTTACCAGTCTGGAGCCAATGTTTATTGGCTAAAATGTAAATCTGGGAACCAATCTTTAATGGCTTGAAATGTAATGTCTTTTGCACTTGCATTCTCTCCTGTTTCGCTTTTGCAAGTCTAAGCAAAATGACTGTGCAACTGCCTGGCCTCTTCACCAATGATCTCTGTGCTGTAGGGCACAGTTTCTGAGCCAGGTCTTCTATCCATACTCTGAGAGGATGCAGCATAAACAGTTCTGTCTCTGCATCACGTCTGGATGCATCCACATGGTCTATGGGAACGAGGAGCAATCATTATTGCTATGTTATTTTGTTTAATCAGGTTGAACTAAATCAGGAATATATAAAAAGATGATGGATTTAAAAATACTCTATCAATATAAATTTGTTATCTCAAAATCTTAGCTGGCGAAACTAAAGGTGGCCAAATATCATTTAATCTCTTTATACAAAGCTTCCATATACACACATGAGAAGTTTTATTTTGTTTCTAAAACAAAGATTGATTGTAATCAACCTTTCTAATCTCTTAAAAAAATTTCCAATTGACAAAATAACACAGATACCTTTACAGGCCAATACTTCTATCTCTACACCAACATTTTAAATGTCTAATGGTATTTCATTATATAGATATAAGATAGCTTATTTAATTTTTCCTATATTGTTGAACATTAATTTGATTTCCAAATTTTCATTAATTTCAATGTTGCTGCTCTGCTGGAGATGTTTCTTTTGCACCTATATCCTCACCATCCTTCTCAACCCCAGGAAATTGACCTCTGTGGACTTACTCTATCAATGGTGCCCATGAGGCCAGGCATAGTGGCTCACACGTATAATCTCATACTTTGGGAGGCCTAGGTAAGAAGATCACTTGAAGCCAGGAGCTCCAGACCAGCCTGGACAACATGGCCAAACCCCATCTCTACCAAAAAAAAAAAAAAAAAAAAAAAAAATAGCTGGGCTTTGTGGTGCACACCTGTAGTTCCAGCTACTTGGGAAGCTGAGGCAGGAGGATTGCTTGAGCCCAGGAGTTCCAGGCTGCAATGAGCTACAATCCCTCCATTGTACTCCAGCCTGGGTGATGGACAGAGATCCTGTCTCTAAGAAAAGCAGTGCCTATGTCTTATGATTCTAGGTGGTTTGGGCCAATGGGTAGCCCTGGCAGGAGGAGGTTCCCTCCCTGCAAGGTTGACTCAGGCTACCTGTGTCTCTTGACCAAAGGTCACTGCTTTTCTCAAGATGGCCCGAGAGGCAGAATGCTTCCTTTATTTAGTTTCGGTAACATTCCCCTCCTCTCCTCTCTTCAGACCTAGTGCTCCTACCAACCTTGCAGCTGCTAGCCCATGATTCCTGCACCATAACTTGCAGTTCTCTTAATCTCAGCATACATCTTTGTAATTAGTCCTTTTTAACTAAAGCCATCCTTGTTTGAGTGTATAATCTGTTTCCTATTGGGACCCAGACACAACACACATTTTTGTGTAAATCTTCGAAACCAAATCATTATACCCATCCATAATCATTTCCACAGAACTGATTCATAGATACAGATCTTATGCCAAAGTACATATACTTTTAAGGCTTTCAATAAGTATACTTTAAAAAACACAGTATCATATGAGTATTTTCTCTAAACACCTGCCAGCACTGGGTATCTCCATTATAAAACATTCCTAATTTGATTTGTAAAAAATAATGTCTCATTACTGTTTACATTTCTTTTATTATCCTGCAGGTTGAATATACCCCCACATATCTGTTGTTCCTTTTTATTTCTTCTATTTCCTGTCTAGGTCTATTGCCAATTATTGAAATGAGGCTGTTCATCTTTTTCCCATTGATTTGGAAAAGCCTTTATGCATTTAGGAGTTAATTATTTTTCTGTCACATATGTTGTAAACAGTATTTTGTTTTTGACTTTGACTTTGTATTATATTTTTTAAACTATATAGAATTCAAATGGCAAAAATAACTGTTACCTCATAGTCTCAATATTTGGGATCAACGGACACTTATAAGTTTTCTAAAACATCTATTTAATATTTGCTTTCATAATGCCCTGTATTCTTATTTGCAGACTTATGACCAGAACAACAGTATATTATGCTTCTTTATACTTCTCACAGTGCCTAAAACAAACACAAAAACAAACAAAAACAAACAAAAATTATTCCAGGATATTAATACAGAAGCAGTTTAATGCAGTGGAAAGGGCTTAATAGAAGTATGATTTTAGCATACTACTTTATTATTTTGAACTTGTAAAAATGAAGATAAGTATCTTCTGTGATGTTATTGTTCAGTTTTAATGAGAGATTGAGTTCATAGATATTCAGCTATTGTGTAGATTGTATAGTGAGAAAAGTAGTAAACAAAGATAAGGCTTATTGATCAGTTGTTTCTAAAAAATAATAAATGGGATACTTGAATTTTTCAATCACAAAATTTATCCATACTTTATGTATGGACTATAATTGTTCAGTGCTTCCATCTCCTGCCTGGATTATCATAATAACTCTCCAAATGTTTTCTCTCTTTTTATTTGTGTCACTCCCAAGTTACTCACCACTTAACAGACAGAAGCAGCCTTTAGAAAACATAAATACAATGTGAGCAGCACTGCTCTCAATTTTCCAATGGTTTCCCATTCTACATGGAACAAAATCCAAAGTTTCTACTATGGCCCTACTGGCTTCTCTGACCTTATTTCCTGCTCCTCTCCCCATTCCCCACCGTGCTCCACAAAAAATGGCTTTCCTGCTCTTTCTTAAGCATACCAAGAGGCTTTGTTCTGACTATTCTGTCTCCTTAGAATGCTCTTTCATCAGATATTTACATGATTTACTTTCTCTGTAGGTCTGTGGAGTCACTAGGATGGAGGCGAGTACCTGTGGTATCACTTGGTGCAAGCTGGACCTCAGTGGCAGAAAAGCAGCAGGTATATGGGTTCCCTGATCCTGAGCACTGTGCTCCTGGTGAGGGATGGTGTTCTGATTTTTATGAGTGTGATGGCCAGTACTGAGTGTCAACTCGATAGGATTGACGGATGCAAATTATTGATCCTGGGTGTGTCTGTGAGGGTGTTGCCAAAGGAGGTTAACATTTGAGTCAGTGGGCTGGGAAAGGCAGACCCACCCTCAATCTGGGTGGCACCATCTAATCAGCTGCCAGTGCAGATAGAATATAGAGCAGGCAGAAAAATGTGAAAAGGCTAGACTGGCCTAGCCTCCCAGCCTACATCTTTCTCCTGTGCTGGATGCTTCCTGACCTCCAACATTGAACTCCAAGTTGTTCAGTTTTGGGACTCAGACTGGCTCTCCTTGTTCTTCACCTTGTGATGGCCTATTGTGGAACTTTGTGATTGTGTGAGTTAATACTTAATAAACTCCCCTTTATATATGATATATATATTTTATATATCATATATAAATTATATATTATATATATATTTTATATATAATATATAAATTATATATTATATATACTATATATGTAATATATGTAATATATAATATATATATACACACACAATATCACAACAAAGTGATTCACATACTTTTTTTGGTTTCATGGTGCACATAAAAGTTATGTTTACACTATACTGTAGTCTATTATGTGTGCAATAGCATTGTCTAAAAGAATGCACATACCTTAATTAAAAATACTTTATTGCTAAAATATGCTAATAATCATTATATATATTTTATATATATAAAACTAATAGGATATATATCATATATAATATATATATGTCCTATATATAAAATATATCATATATATAAATATATATGATATATTTTATATATTAAATATATAATTATATATAAATATATATTTATATATAAATATATTATTTCAATATATATAAATATATTTAAATATATTTAAATAGAATATTAAATATATAAATATATAATTATATTTAATATATAAATATATATTAAATATATAATTATATTTAATATATATAAATATATATTAAATATATAATTATATATTTATATATTTATTATATATAAATATATATTTGTTCTAAATAAATATATATTCTAAATATATAATATTTTATATTATATAATATATAATATAAAATATATAATAAATATATAATATATAAATAAATAAATATTTATTATAAAATACATATAAATATTAAATATATATTAAATATATATATTTAATATATATATTTAATAATATATAAAATATATATTATTTATATATATCTTATTTGTTCTGCCCCCTAGAGAACCCTGACTAATACAATGAGGCAAGCATGAGGCAACCTTATACAAAAAGAAAAAAAAATTACCTGGGCTCCAGGCAGTCAACTTAAGTGCCATCGGTTTGTAACAGTAAATGAGAATGTCAGATGCCCAATATTGGGCAAACTTGAGACCTGTGAATAGTTGCAGCCTCTTTTTCTTGAGCAGGGGAGGGAAGAAGATACTATTAGCTTCATGGAGAGTTTAAATCTGGTAGAGCCATACGCACACGGAGGAAGGCTGGGCTAGTCTTAGCTCACTGGTAGCTAACCTGGGATAATTCTCATTGCATAATTCTAGCTGCTTATCTCTGCACTGTCTCAGTTCAAATGTCTCCTGCTCAGAGACAGCTTCTGGGACCCTTTAAGAGCTGATAGACCCTTATGTTCCTTTATTTTTCCTTATTGCACTATCCCTGCATGAACAATCATTGTTTATCTGTCTATTATGTGTTTCCCATCACTAGAACTTCAGGTACACTTCTGTGTCTCCATGGCTTGGCACTCAGTAGGTGCTCAGTTAATATTTGTGAAAAAGAAGTTGATGGAATTCCATATATACATTAATTTCTAAAACCATTAACTTTAACACTTAAAGGAGTTTAAGACAAGTCACAAAGAATTTATTAATATAAATGGTTTTGGAGGATTCAAAAATGACAGAATATGGGCTTTAGGAGAGTCACATGGGAAAATACCAGAACTTTGCATATCTTGGGTATAAATATCAATGCAAATTACAGGTATACCTCAGTGATTTGTGGTTTAGTTCCAGAGAGCTGCAATAAAGCAAATATCACAATAAAGTGATTCACATATTTTTTTTGGTTTCATGGTGCACATAAAAGTTATATTTACACTATACTGTAGTCTCTAATGTGTGCAATACAATAGTCTAAAAAACAATGCACATACCTTAATTAAAAATACTTTGTTGTTAAAATATGCTAATAATCATCTGTGAGCCTTTAGCAAGTCCTCATCTTTTTGATAGTGGAGGGGCTTGCCTCGATGATACCTGCTGACTAATGAGGTTGGTAGTTGCTGTAGGTTGCAGTGGTTGTGCAATTTCTTAAGACAGCAATAAAGTTTGCTGCATCTATTGACTCATCATTTTACAAAAGATTTCTCTGTAACATATGATGCTGTTTGATAGTATTTTACCCACAGGGAAACTTCTTTCACAATTGGAATCAATCCTCTCAATTACTGCCACAGCTTTATCAACTAAGTTTATATGATATTCTAAATCCTTTGTTGTCAATTCAACAATGTTCACAGCATCTTCACCAGGAGAATTGATTCTATCTCAAAAAACCACTTTCTTTGCTCATCTATAAGAAGCAACTCCTCATCTATTTGAGTTTTATCATGAGATTGCAGAAATTCAGTCACATCTTCAGGCTTCACTTCTAATTCTAGTTCTCTTATTATTTTCACCACACCTGCAGTGATTCCTCCACTGAAGTCTTGGAACCCTCAAAGTCATCCATGAGGGTTGGAATCAACTTATTCCAAACTCTTGTTAATGTTGCTATTTTGACATCCTCCCATGAATCACAAATGTTCTTTTTTTTTTTAAATTTAAGTTCTGGGATACATGTGCAGAATGTGCAGGTTTGTTATATAGGTATACACATGCCATGGTGGTTTGCTGCACCCATCAACCTGTCACCTACATTAGGTATTTCTTCTAATGTTAACCCTCCCCTTCCCCCAACCCCCCACTGACAAGCCCTGGTGTGTGATGTTCCTCTCCCTGTGTCCATGTGTTTTCATTGTTCACCTCCCACTTATAAGTGAGAACATGTGGTGTTTGGTTTTCTCTTCCTGTGTTAGTTTGCTGAGAATGATGGTTTCCAGCTTCATCCATGTCCCTGCAAAGGACATGAACTCATCCCTTTTAATGACTGCATAATATTTCATGGTGTATATGTGCCACATTTTCTTTATCCAGTCTACTATTAATTGGCATTTGAGTTGGTTCCAAGTCTTGCTATTGTGAACAGTGCTGCAATAAACATACGTGTGCATGTGTCTTTATAGTAGAATGATTTATAATCCTTTGGAATGGGATTGCTGGGTCAAATGGTATTTCTGGTTCTAAATCCTTGAGGAATCACCACACTGTCTTCCACAATGGTTGAACTAATTTACACTCCCACCAACAGTGTAAAAGCGTTCCTATTTCTCTACATCTTCACCAGCATCTGTTGTTTCCTGACATTTCAATGATTGCCATTCTAACTGGTGTGATATAGTATCTCATTCCTGACATTTCAATGATTGCCATTCTAACTGGTGTGATATAGTATCTCATTACGGTTTTGATTTGCATTCCTCTAATGACCAGAGATGGTGAGCTTTTTTTCATATGTTTGTTGGCCACATAAATGTCTTCTTTTGAGAAGTGTCTGTTCATATCTTTTGCCCACTTTTTGATGGGGTTTTTTTTTTTTTTTTTTTTTTGGTAAATTTATTTAAGTCCCTTGTAGACTCTGGACATTAGCCCTTTGTCAGATGGATAGATCGCAAAAATTTTCTCCCTTTCTGTAGGTTGCCTGTTCACTCTGATGATAGTTTCGTTTGCTGTGCAGAAGTTCTTTAATTTAATTATATCCCATTTGTCAATTTTGGCTTTTGTTGTAATTGCTTTTGGTAGTTTAGTCATGAAGTCTTTGCCTATGCCTCTGTTCTGAAGGGTATTGCCTAGGTTTTCTTCCAGGGTTTTTTTGGTTTTATGTTTTACATTTAAGTCTTTAATCCATCTTGAGTTAATTTTTGTATAAGGTATAAGGAAGGGGCCCAGTTTCTGTTTTCAGCACATGGCTAGCCAGTTTTCCCAGCACCATCTATTAAATAGGAAATCTTTTCCTCATTGCTTGTTTTTGTCAGGTTTGTTGAAGATTGGATGGTTGTAGATGTGTGGTGTTATTTCTGAGGCCTCTGTTCTGGTCAATGGATATTTCATAATGCCCTCTACTGCCCCCACCTTTAGCATGCCAGGGCGCCTCCTAAAATGTGGCATCCAGAATGAAGTGTGCAGTACTCCACTGAGTTCTGTGTAGAGTGAGCCTCCACATCTCTCTGTCTGAATACCCTTGACTCATGCTAAGCTCAAACACAGGCAATACCCAAACATTTATTCCATATAACCATTTCCATGTACACTTCTCCAAAGATAGCCTTTGCATATATTTCTGTTTATTTAATCTTGTTGGTTTTAGCTTATTTCCCTGCCAAGGCTTGTCAGCTTTCTGCTAACTATGGGTTTACAAAAACAATTTGTCTATCTTCCTTTGACTGTGTATTAAAAACTGTTGAATAAGAGCAGGGTCACACACACAAATCCTCCCCACCTCCAGCAAGTTGTGATTATATCAATTGTTCCATCACCACTTTGTTGGTGTATCACCTATCTCAACACCATCCAGTCTAGAGTTCTCTGCCTTGTTTCATGCCTTTGTGAAAAAGTTGTGCCCAATGACTCACCAAAATCAACACATACTGTCTTTATCATTCTCTTCATTTGGGCTGCAGTAATCTTGTCAATGATGAGAATGGAACAGTTTGGCATAATCTATTTTTAGTCAATGCATACTTACTCTTGGTGTTTTATTTTCACAACTAATATATTTAATTCTTTGGCCTACAGTTTTGGCAGGGATTGTCCACAAGCCTCTGACTCTGTGATATTATTACTAGCTCCTATCTCCTTTTTGAAAATGAGAATATTTGTCTCCTGTCACGTGGCATGTTACTCATCAGGATTGCATAGTAACATCTGGATGTTATTTTAACAGCATGGGCCTTTAGATTTGGATTTATTTAAAGCAACTAAGTATTATCTTTCTAGATTTTTATTTTTCTTGGCAGCCATGTCACTCTAATTTATTTAATAGGCTTTTACCATGTACAATATTTTATCCTCTGTGCTGGGGATATAGTTGTGCATATATAATTTACAGTAAATTGGGGAGACAGAAATGCATAGGAAGTTGTAAGCATGTACTATTCCTTACGGGTGTTACAGGAGCCCCCAGGTGGGGCAGGCAAATGTGGGTCTGGTGGTGGCAGCACGTCATTAAATTTTTATTTTAGAAAGATCACCCTGGCCATACTGGAGAATGGGGCTTCTCAAACTGGAATGTGTGGAGGAGTCACCTGAAAATTCAGGTTTAAAGTAAGATTCTTAATATATCAGGAAGGGAGCTGAGGTTCTGTTTCTAACAAGTTCCCAGCTAAGACTGATGCTGGAGATCCATGGACTACACATTCAGGAGCAAAACTGCAGAGAGTCAAGTAGAGTGTGTGAAGATTAGAGACAGGGAACTATGTTGGAAGGCGGTTATAGTGACCTAGGAGGAAGATGATGATGGCACAAATAAGGGGAAACCTGTTTCACTCCTTGAAGCCTACACATTAGTCTCTTTTGCTCTTTTGTGAAATATATGTATACTAAATATAAGTATTTTTCTTTGATCTGTGAGCAGTTACACAGGTTAACTTAAGGAAAGAGGGAAGGAGAGCTCCATTCCAGTCTTAGATCTTAATAACAAACCTGGAACTTCAGGGGCTTGCTTTAAGACCACTGAGGCCTTAGTTATCTCACCTCATCTGTAAAATGGGAGTCTGGTTGTTATGGGTTGAACTGTGGCCCTGCCAAGATTCCTGTGGTGATATTCTAACCCCCATACCTCAGTATATGACCTTATTTGGAAATAGGGTTATTACAGATGTAATGAGCTGAGATTAGGTCATATTGGATTAGGGTGGGCCCCTAATGTAATTGACTGATGTCTTTATAAAAAGGGGCAATTTGGACACAGATGCAGATGCAGGGAGAAAGCCATGTGAAGCTTGGAGATATGCTGCCACAAGCCAAGGAACTGCGAGAACAAGGGGAGGCCTAGAACACATAGGTCTTTCCCTGGCACCTTCATAGGGATCACAGCTCTATGGACAATTTGACTTCAGACCTCTGGCCTCTAGAACTTGAGACCATGAACTTCTGTTGTTCTAAGCCACCCAGTTTGTGGTACACTATTACAGCAGCCCTAGCAAGCTAATATAGTGGGCTGCATCTAAAAGGCTACCTTCAAGTCTGTCATACCATCCCATCATCAACACATGTCTTGCAGGAAATCTGAGCTAAATGTGGTTATACAGAAGATTTCTCTTTTTCTATCCATTATTGATCCATGATTTTCTTTTAATTCAAATTTTCATTTTGGAGAAGCCTTTATTTTTTGATGTTTACTTATGCTTCTTAAGTGGATTTTTATTAATGGATTCAACTTATTCAATCCAAAGGAAACAGCATTTTGAGGCCCTGGTTTATGAGTATAAACACTTTTGGGAAGACAGATTCTGCAGCATGAATGACATGATAGTGGCGGCACTTTCCTTACCTGAGCAACAAGAAGCATTTAAGAATTATTTATTTTTAAACATAGAAGAATATTTTAGCAATGCACATCAATTATCCTATGTCATCCCAGCAACAGTAACATGAAGTCTATAGGAAACACAACAAACAAGCAAAATATCCATCTTACTACCTAAAAAAATACCAATTGTTGTACTATAATAGGAGAGATAGAACTGCATATTTTATTTTACAATTAATTTAGCTGATTTAATGTACTCTTTTATTTCTTGGTTCCTGAAGGTTAGAAAACAAAATGGGGAAAGGCACCTTCCTATAAGATAAAGCTAACTTTTCACTATTTTAAAAATTAAATACTACTCCTTGCTTTCTGTTTAAAAACATATTAAGCTCCCTACCCTTGGAAAAAGCAAGGAGTTTGGGAGAGAATAAGGCTAAACAAATAACCTAAATAAGGAATGGAATAGTAATAATATAGTTTTCCAGGTAGGAGATCTGAGCCAGGTGTCCAAACTAATTCTATTTACTTTTCTTGACAGTGACAGGGATTTGACATATCTCAAAATAATCGCTTACCATATCACAGTGTCTTAGTTTCCTCATCTACAAAACAGACATAAACTGTGTCCTAGGCATAGAATATAAAAGGGACATCAAACATTTCAGAGAAAGAGGTTCGATTTTTTGTTACATTTTTTATATCTATAGAAAGACTTCTATAATAATAGCAGGATTATTTACTAAGCATGTTATTTATAATAGACACTGGAAAGGTGCTTTGCATACTTTTTCTCATTTAATCCTCACAATAACCCTATTACTAGATAGGTGTTGTTTTATCCCCACTTCATATATGTAGAATCTAAGGCCAAAGATGTTAATTCATTTTCCCAATGTCAAAAAGGCAAGAAAGAATCAGACCTAAGATTCAATTTCACACCTCTCAGCACTGTAGGGATCCCAAATGTATGAATCACGTGCTGCAAACCTCAGTTCCTGTGCAGTGGCAGACATTACTAACTGATTATAGCAGTCACTTTGGAATCCCTCTAGACCTTACAATACTGATAGTAGGGAAGTAGAACTAATGTGCCTTTCTAAAGCCTTATTAAAGCCTGTACTTCATAACAGCAGTCTTGGTGACCTACATTCAGAGATTTTGATTCAGCAGACCTTGAGCTGGTTCCTGAATCTGTATTTTTGAGGTCTCTCCCAGTGATTCTGATGACAGCTAGGTTTAGCAAAAATTTCTTCTTGCACCTATGTTCAACAATACCATATCTTTGTATATTTGTTCAGTCTATGAGTTTCTGAAATAGAAGATAGAGCTAAGGAAATAATCTTAGGAAGGAAAAGTAATTTTTGACTAGCTATTACTTATGGAACGCCTACTATATGAAAGACAGATCTAGTACCTTCCCTCCTTTTTTGAGCCACTGAAACTCTGTAAGAAAGAGCTAGTCATACTGTTCTGTGCTGAAACATCTGGTGAATATTAGAAATACAGGAGTGTCATCTCTTAAATGTGACTCTGATGGGTTTGGAATAGAAGAAAGAGATCTTAGCCATGATCTGAGAAGCCCAAGCTTAGAGGAGTATCAAATACAAACAGGAGTAAGTGAAAACCTTACAATTTATGATTCTGTATTAATCCTACTCCTGTAATTCACAACAAATTGACTATTAAACCTCCCCCACTCTCCCCAAAATTAGTACATGTGGTAGATTACAAGCCCGATGAGAAAAGGCAGCAGTGCTCCATTAATATTTATAAATGTCGCAATGCTCATATTTCCCATCTATTTGGAAAATCAGCCCAAGTAATTAAGGAGTATGGGGAATTATAAAGATGAAAAATATCAGGAAAACAGTGCACATGGAAGTTATCAACACGATTTTACCTCTACTGTTGCATCTTAATGACTTCGTTTTCCATGGATGGCATTTTTTAAGTTTAAATTTCTGGGTGAAAACAAAACAATAAAACTTCATTATCATCCAAGCAACATAGATATTTTTCAAATATGGACTTACATCTTTGGCTTCTCCACGAGGTATTGAAAGTGTTTACTTCCAATGATTTTCACCATGATCTCAGGCATTGCATCTGATCCACGGGGAGTCTTCCAGGCTGAAGACATGATTCCTTTCAAAATCCCTTCAGATCCCTAGGGGTGAAAATAAGTAAATTGTTCCTCTTGATTTTCCATTAGGGAACTGCATCATCCTTGCCAATAACAACAAGCAATAATAATAGCAGGACAAAGTGTTTCACCTATATTACCTCACTTAACACTCCTAACAAAGGCATGAGAAAGATATTTTTAACTACTATTATCATTTTTGTTTTACTGTTGAGGAAACAAGCAAAATGTAGCTATATGACTTACTCACATCACATCACATCACCAGTAATTAGCCGACTTGGGAATCTCACCTAAGAGGTCTGTACAGCAGATCTACTGAATCATTAGGTGACTCTACCTTCCTGTACTACAAGACATAGGATGGAATTCCAGTGAGGTCAGAGCAGAAACAAGGGCATTAGTGGGACATATGAAGAATCCATATTCAGTTCTGATGTTTAGTTTCCCCATTTATGAGATCAGGGTAATTCTAGGTCTGTTCTCAGGGACTTGAGGGTGAATCCAAGGAGATAATGCATCTGAAGGGAGACTGTACACAAGACAGACAGACTTTTGTTGTTATCACTGATCTCTTTCTACAACAATACAATGAATCTGAAATTGAACTCCTGCACAAGGTGTTTAAACAGAGTGATGCCAAGGGAAAATCAGAAGTTCAGTAAATCTGGCCACAGCTGAACACTCCCTTTTAGAACCACCCAGAGGCTGAAAGGCCTTTAGAAATCATTCTACTCCAAAGGCTCCTTCACAGATTGGAAAACTAAGGCCCAGAGAGGGTGTGTTATTTGACAAGGGTCACAGAGGAATGAAGGACGGGACTGTTTCCAGTACTTGGGTCTGATGTCTAGGCCAGGGTTCTTCCCAAAAGTCCAATACTAAAGACCTGTGCTAGGGCAGCCCCTCATCCCGGGGACCTGCAGCCTCTTTGCACCTGTCTGGAATCTTCCAGACCCGGAACTCGTGATCCTCAAATCCCCTCCCTGCCCAGCAGCTGCGTGTCGGCCCTGATTGCCCGGAGAGAACAGAGTCGGGGGGCTTACCGCTAGGGCAGCGTCCCCACCCTGGCAGCTCAGAGGTGCGCGGTCCGTGCTTCTCCCCAGGAAGCTGACACTCTCAGACCCGGGGACGGGACGGGGCGTGGGGACCGAGCCCAGGAATCCGGCCAATCACAGGGCCCGCATCGCGGGCGGCGCCTGTTCCGCCCTGGTCGCTAAGGACGCTGAAGGCTGTTTCTGGGCGGGGACCAGGTTTTTCTCCACTGCCTAGGCAATGGACCCAGGCTCTGGCTGCCAACGGGTGAAGAGCCTAGGTGTTTTTGATCTGTGCCTTCTCTGTTCCTCAGAGATATGCGGGCGTCCTTCTAGAAGCCCATCTCGCTCACCTGTGTGGTCACCCTTGTCCCGCCCTTCCTCCGAAGGCTTCATTTCCCTTTGTGAGTTTGCACATAGTTGAGATTCCAACACAGTAGGTTCAAATCCAGACGTCTCCACTGTATGGCTTGAGTAAATCCCTTCTTTTCCCTGAGATTGTTTCCTCATCTGTGAAACGGGGCAAAATAATAACACTGTCCTAACTGCGATTTGGTGACTAAATTAAATAAGAATATCGGCCGGGCTCAGTGGTTCACCCCTGTAATCCCAGCACTTTGTTAGGCCGAGGTGGGCAGATCACGAGGTCAGGAGATTGAGACCATCCTGGCTAACATGGTGAAACCCCGTCTCTACTAAAAATACAAAAAATTAGCCGGTCGTGGTGGTGCGCGCCTGTAATCCCAGCTACTCAGGAGGCTGAGGCAGGAGAATTGCTTGAACTTGGGAGGTGGACCTTGCAGTGAGCCAGGATGGTACTACTGCACTCCAGCCTGGGCAACAGAGCGAGACTCCATATCAAACAAACAAAGAAACAAAAAAACCAGAATATTATAGATTGATAATAATAACGTTGAGTACTGTCTCTATGCCAGATCCCTATGACAAGCTGGATAACTCTCACCTCACAAGTTAATAGTTATAAACAAAATAGTTTTACTTTATTTTAAAGAGAAAAGAAACAAGTTGGGGTATTGATAAACTACTCCAAATCCTGCAAAAGCAAGTACAGAGCTAAGATTAGAATATAGATCTGCATATCCTACATTTCCAGACAGTTGTTATTATGCTAAAAGAAACTTCAGCTGATGCAGGCAAAGACACTTTAGATTGATTCCCAAACGGTATTGTTATTTGCATCAACATAGGCAGCAGCAGCTCCAGCATCTGTTCCCCTGTCTCCTAACCTCTAGCTGTACTGTGCTTTACAGGTGAATATATCACCCACTGGCACATGCAGCCAGAGGTGGACAGCACACTCAGCTCCCCTCCAGGGGCTCACTCTCTAGAGGGTGAGACACACAGCCACATTCTATGATATAGAAAGTGTTAAGGGAGCAGAGAAGCGGGGACAGCTCCCTTCTCACTCCTCCCTCCTAGCCTTCACGTTGCTTCCAGATCAGTCTTCCCAAGGCCCAACTCTGACAAGCCCCCTCCTCTACTCAAATGTCTGAAAGATCTCATCAGCCACAGCAGGTGTCTGTGGTTTCAAGACCTTCCACTATCTGACTTCAAGCTAGATCTCTAGCTTGATCTCCCACTACTTCTCCTAGGCTTGTTATGCTGCATCCAACCCAGTCTACTCACTGGCTTGAATCTCCCTTTCATATCTCTGCCTCAGTGCCTTTGTTCACTTTGTTTCCTCTGCCTATAATGCCCTTCCATTTCTCACTGTGTCAGCCTGCCTATCCATTCTTTAAGTTGGATCTCAAATGATATGTGAACTTGGGAATCAGACACTTTGAGTTCAAATCCTTGCCCTGCTAGTTCAGTGTAATCTTGGGCAAATCACTTAACATCTTTGTGCTTTAGTTTCCTCTTCTATACAATGAGGATGACTTTTTGTGAAGTTTAAGCGAGTTATATAAGAAAGGAACTTAGAAGAATGCCTGACACATAACGAACAATATAAATGTTTGCTCTTATTTTGGAAGAAGCCAAACTGGATTCCAGAGCTGAAAGTGGCTTCTTCATCTTATCTATAACTTGTGGTTTCTCTCTTAGGAAATATGTGTGTCTTTGTCTGAGAGTGTGGTATTTATTTGCTTTGTTTGTCCGGGCTTCTCGTGCTATGCTGTAGAGGGCTGAATAATGCCCCTCCCTCAAGATGTCCACCTTTTAATCCCCAGAACTTGTGAATATTACCTTCCATGGCAAAAAGAACTTTACGGATGTGATTAGGTGAAGGAACTTGAGAGGAGAAGATTATCTAAATTTTTCAGATGAGCCCTAAATGTAATCACGAGTGTCTTTATAGGAGGGAGGTGAGAGAGATTTGATGACAGAAGAGGAAGTAAATGTGACAATGGAGGCAAGAGGGTACAGGGATTTGGGGAAGGGATCATGAGCCAATGAATGCAGACGGCCTCTGGAAGCTAGAAAAGGCAAGGAAACTGATTCTACTCAAGACCCCCAGAAGGAATCTATTCTGCTGACCCCTTGGCTTTAGCCCAGTGAGACTGATTTTGGATTTCTAACCTTCAAAAATGTAAGACAATACATTTGTGTGTGGTAATTTATTATATTATCCATGGGAAAATTTAACGTCATGCTATTGAAGGACTCTTCTTTTCTTTTTCTTCTCTGTGTTTGTTAAATATCCAGAACAGTGTCTAGATTATAGTGTGCTCTACAAAATTTTTTGACCAAATGAATGAAGGAGAATAGAACCAAAATTAAGTATTAAAATTTCTCTCTAAAAAATACTATAATGAAAATGGTACAGGTGGGAGTTTTGTCTACCTAAAACGCTTGCCTATTCTTTCTTTCTGTGAAATGAATGCTTTCTTTGGGAATCTCTTTTCCTATTTCAAGGAGTCCTTGTGGGCATTTTCAATCAAAGTGCTGCTTGATTATACTCTATGTCTTAAGAAGGCCAGAGTTCTTATCAATGACCAATGCACCTGACCCTTGAACAATACAGAGGTTAGGGGTGATGACTCCTCATGCAGCTGAAAATTTGCGTGTAACTTTAGACTCCCCCAAAACTTAACTGCTTATAGTCTGCTGTTGACTGGAATCCTTACTGATAACATCATAAATTAACACATATTTTGTATGTTATATGTATTATATAATGTATTCTTATAATAAAGTAAGCTAGAGAAAAGAAAATCTTATTAAGAAAATCATAAGGAAGAGAAAATGTATTTACTAAGTGAAAGTTATCATCATAAAGGTCTTTATCCTCAACATCTTCACATGGAGTACGCTGAAGAGGAGGAGGAAGAGGAGGTATTGATCTTGCTGTCTTGGAGGTAGTAGAGCTGGAAGAAAATCTGCCTATAAGTGCACCTGCACAGTTAAAACCTGTGTTGTTCAAGGATCATTTGTACACACATGTAGGAGGAAAAAAGTTTATATCTGTTAAGATTACTAGACTGTGAGGATAAGGTGTTGATATCTGTATCAACACATACTGCAATTTTTCAGAGAGGAGGAAGAACTCAGCCAACAGAGAAAAGCAGAGCTGAAAATGGAGCCAGTGTGGGGAAGGAGAGGAAAGCAAAAAGCCTGGATCCAGCTATGCCTGAAATTAGAGATTCCAGAACTCTCAAACACACGAGTAATAAACATCCCTTTTGTTTATAATATTTTGAGATGACTGTCATTAATCTTTACCCAAAGAGACCTAACATAGAGACTCTTAAACTTCAGGTTATTAAATTTTATCTATAGGATACAGTTAATTGATTGGATGGCATTTTGAGTTTTCCTATAAATTCTGTGATAAAGCTTGAAGGAGCAAATCGGTTTCGATCAAATTAGTTATTCTACTAAAGACTATCCTTTGACCTTATCTTGACTCCGTAGGTTTTACAAATGCCAACTTGAAATATAGTGGCATTGGTGAGAGGCTTTCTATTGGGCAGCTCTTCTACCAGTTTGATGGTATTCAGGTGAAATCTGATCTATTTTTCAGACCCGAGGGAACTTCTGCTAAGTGACCTCGAAGAAGTAATTTAACTCTTTTATCTGTAAGGTGGAGAAAATAATAATTACCCTCTAAGGTTGTTATCAGGATTAGAGATAATGTACCTGGAGGCCCCTGACATGCAACAGGCTTATAATAAATTATATTCTTGTTTATAACAATAGCAGCTAATATTTAGTGAATATTTAGTATGTGCCAGACACTGAGTTAAGAGCTTTTCATTCAACATTCCATTTCATCTTCATAACAACCTTATGAAAAAAGACTATTAATATTCTCATATCAGAGATTAGGAACCTGAGGCTTAGAGAAGATAAAGAACTTGCAGAAGGGAATGTAGCTAGGAAAAGTCTGAAGCACAATAAAATATCCAGGTGTGCCTGATTCTGGAAGTAGCCTCTATAGCCCCTCCAGCCCCTCCTCCTTACTTCCTCTGTGGATGTTAGTTAGCCATTGTTACTACAAATATGTATTAATGATAATATTTTTATTGTTGCTGTTTTAAGGCTCTTCATTCCTTACAGAATGCAGATTCTGTGACAGAATTCCTAAGGAGTGGTCTTTTCTTAGCTGCTATTTTCTACTTTACACTCAGCTTTATGAAATGACACAACCACGAAACATCTCTCCAGTGGTTTATATTAAACAAGGCAAAACAAAAAGCTGTGCAATAAATGTCTCCATAAGATTAAATACTGTGGTTAAAACTGCCTTCCTTGAATTCAACAGCTTTAGATTACGAGTCACCAGAGAAAGATTCCAAAGAAACATCTCCATCCGAGTCAGCACTCTCTCCTTTCTTCCCAAAGAAAGACGAATAGCTGTAATAAGGGGACCAAAGAATGCCCCCTCCTAAAACTTCAGGATTTTACATTTACCATCAAACAGAGTAAGGAAGAGGAAAAAAAATGGTCTCCAATGTTTTGTTTTTGCCCTTGTAAGTCAAAGTATAATGAGTTTATAAACAGGAAGCAAAAAAGAACTGCTCTTTTGAACAGTCTAATCATAGATCTATAAAAATGAGGCATTTTGCAGTGAAGTCTCTTGTCCAAATAGAGGAGAGGCAAATACTGATGTTAAACTGAGATGTATTACAAAGATATGGGGGTGTTACATTTGTTTTTTCTCCAAGAGACATGCAGGACCCAAGCTACTAATCTTTATGACTAATGGGGGACTTCAGGTAAAAAGACAAGCAAAGGCAGGCCGACTTTAAATAGAATGCAAATATGGTCAAGTTTCTTTTCTCCTTAAAATGCTCTCTTGGCTCTGGAAAAACAAGACTGTGTAGCATACTGATTAGATGGGCCAACTTTGGGCCCTGTGGTAGTTTTCTAGGGCTGCTATAACGAAGTACCACAAAGTGAGATTGAAGAGCAGAAATGCATTGTCTCACAGTTATTGGAGGCTAGAAGTCTGAGGTCAAGGTATTGGCAGGGTTGGTTCTTTCAGATGATGGTGAAGGAGGATCTGTTCCATGCCTCTCTCCTAGTTTCTGGGGGTTTGCAGGAAGTCTGTGATGTTGCTTGGCTTGTAGATCTCCGTCTTTATGTTCACATGGTGTTCTCCCTGTGTGTGTGTGTTTGTGTCCAAATTTCCCCTTGTGTATAAGGACACAAGTGATATTGGGCTAATTACCTCTGCAACCACCCTACATATATATAAGGTCACATTTGAGATCTGATGGTCAGAGCTAGGACTCCAACAAATAAATTGGGAGGCAGGGACACCATTCAACCCTTAACAGGGTTCAATACCTGGTTTCCATTTAATATGATGTTATTTCAGGCAACTACCTTGCCTTTCTGTGACTTTATTTCTTCATGAATAATACCAGTATGTACAATAATGTGAGGATAAAATGAGTTTACATGTTTAGAATAGCGTTTGGTACTGCAAGAGTTTACTGCTATTAGTGTTCTTTCCTTATACATATTTTATGGGGTAAAGGTAATATTTCAATACTTGTGTACAATGTATAATGATTAAATCAGGGTAATTATCATATCCATCGGCTCAAATACTTATTATTTCTTTGTGTTGAAAACATCCCAAAACTTCTCTTCTAGCTGTTTGAAAATACATATCAATTATTATTAACCTTAGTCACCTTACAGTGCTGAAGAACACTAGAGTTCATGTTCTTCATTATGGCCTCTTTGGTTTGGCTTTGCTCACCTCCCCAAATTCATGTCCCACGTTCTCTCCCAACCCAATGAACTTCAGCTGCAGTTAACTGGTGTTCTGCAACCTTCCCTGGAGTTTGATCCCCACGTGCCTCTGCTGAGTGTTTTCGTCATTGTTCTGCCTGAAAGGTCTTTTGTGTGACTCGGTTTCTGACTTTTAAGATCATGTCGGTGTTACTGACCCTGCAAAGGCATTTATCCTCAACGCCCCCAGTCAGATGGTTCATTCTTTTCAGTAAACCAGCAGTTTTATTGAATCTACTATTTCGATAGTAATTATGACTTTAGAATCTTTCTCACCTGCTCAATTGTTGATGATAAATAAATACTATGTCTTACTCCCCACATAGCCCATTCTGAGCACAGTGATAGTACATAGTATGTGATCACAAATGTATATTACATACACGAGAGAAAATAAACATGATAGATGACTTTTAATAGTATAATGTGATTTTGATAAGCATATTATCATAGCAGCTACTATTTAAGGTTTACTATGTGCTAGTCATTGGATGAGGCACTTTATATGTGACACTTCATTTAATTTCAGTAATGATCCTATAAGGGATGTAGGGTATTATTTTCTCTGTTCTACTGATGAGGAATCTAATCTCAGAGTGTTGGATTGTCCAGGACCTTGGTTGTACATAGCTGAAACTCCACTAGAGCCGACTGTAGCAAAAAAGGAATTTCTCATGAAACTAAGTACAGAAATGAACCCAGGCCTCTGAAACAGTCAGGGACTATGGCAGGGAATTTTTTTAGGACTCTTGTCTCTGCTACTCTATGTATCAGCTTCATTTATTCTTCTCTGTAACACACATTAGCGTTTTCTCATCCCCCAGGCCACATGCTGGGGGATAAAACATGCTCATAAATAAACACCAGAAAGAAAGTCACTAATCATAATTCACAAGTTTCATTTCTACCCAAGGAGCTGGCAAAATCTGGAATTTCTTAGTTCCATTTGCTACAGAAGAAATTATGGTCAGCCAAGCTTGGTCAGGAAATATCTGAACCAATGAATTGTATTGGGGGATGGAGCTGGTGGGTGGTAGAATCATGTACAAAATTGTTAGTAGGAGCTATTGGAAGAGTTAGTACCCAGACAGTTATAGGGTACAGGAACCCAATAGAGGTTAACCTGATAGGAGGTTGAATAACTTGCCCAAGATCTTACTGCAAATAAATGGTAGTGCAATGATTCAAATTCACATATGCCTGACTCTAAAGCGTCTCCTTGGAGCATTATGTTTTAAAATTCTATAGTATAATAATAGTGGCCTGGAAAATGTGGTTGTAATAAAGTTCAAGAGAATGACCACAGAGCAGAAGTTCTAACCACATAAAGACCATCTGGCCACCTCTGCCATTAGCTTACCCTGCTCTAGATTATTAAGAACTTTACCTGCCTTTAAGTTTTAACATCTGTGAATAGAACTACAGTGCTATATACTGAATGTATTCCCCCAAATTTATATGTTGAAATCCTAACCCCCAAGGTGATGGTATTAGGAGATGGGACCTTTGGGAGGAGGTTAGTTCATGAGGGCAGGGCCCTCATGAATGGGTTTAGAGTCCTTATAAAAGACACTTCAGAGTGCTCTCTTGCCTGTTCCACCATGGGAAAATACAGCAAGAAGAAGACTGTCTATGAACCAGGAAACAGGCCTTCTTCAGGCACTGAATCTGCTGCACTTTGATCTTGGACTTCCCGGTCTCCAGAACCATGAGAAATAAATTTCTGTTGTTTATAACCCACCCAGTATATGGTATATTTATTATAGTAGTCTGAGCAGATTAAGACAGAGAATCTCAAGGTTGAAATACACCTCACAAGTTATCGGGTCTGGCCATTCTTCTACCCAGCCAGGTGGAGCATTAATATTCCTTGTAACATTCTATCCCAGTGATGCTGAAGGCCTGTGGCTGTATGGTAGAAGAATTAAGAATGCTGATTCTGAGGCTAGAAGGTTTGGATTCAAATCTTTGCTCTGCTAATTATTACCTTGATGTACTTGGGCAATGAGCTTAGCATTTATGCTTTAGTACCTTAATCTATAAACCAAGTATAATAACAGCAATATCATTCTTTTTTAAAGCAATATTTATAGTGCATTTATCATGTACAAGCCTTCTTCTAAGTATTTTTTATTTATCAACACATTTATTATCATAATAGGTAGGGAGTATTATTTTTAATTAAGGAAACTGAGTCAGAGACAAGTCAAGTGCCTTGTCCAAGATTTCAGGTAGTGATGGGGCTGGAATTAAAACATATGCAGTCTGGCTACAGACCTTATGCATTATCCACCACGTGATACCATCTCCCTGCTGCTCTTGGAAATAGCAAGTGATGTAACATACATAAAGCAGTTAGCACAGGTCCTGGTACACTCTACATTCCCAATAACTGTTAGTGCTGCTGATACTCTTCTTTCAGTTCCAATTTTCTTACCACCAGCCCCTAAGCCTAAGGGCCATAAAATCCCCATTTCCTAAATGCTTGTGGGACAAGAAGAAAGCCTGCTCTACTTCCTGATACTGCTTCATGGCCTAGAAGACGGGCCTTGTGTATATGCAGGACTTTTCAATGCCTGATATCCCCACCCACTAATAAACATGGCCTGGTTAGGATAATGCTCTCCCTTTTTTAAAAGGGGAAGAAAAAATGATTGAGTAAAGGAATGCTTCTTGACACCCCCAAGTGGCCCAAATTGATTTTATGATAAAACTTACTAAATTCATAATACTGGTACCTCTACATCTATCAAATATTTATTGAATGTAATTTTAAGGCACCATGGTGAGTTGTTGAGGATACAATGATGAATCAGATTCAAATGCCCCTCTAAAGATTACCAGCCGGAGGGAAAAAACATGCTCATAAATAATCATTAGATACAACATAAAGTAAGGAAGAGTAACAAAAAATAAATATGAAAATTCAAAGGAAAGAGAAATTACTTCATAATTGTAGGATTAGGAAAGACTTCTTTGTAGAGTTAACAGATGAGTTGAATCTTTAAAAGACATGTAGTAATTGACATATGAGAAGGGAAGATAATACACTAAGCAGGGGAATAACATTAAGTGGAGACATAGAAAAGCAAGAAATGGGATGTGGCCAAGGAATCACATCTAGGTTCATTTGGAGAATTCAGAAGACAAAATTGCTAAAGTAGGTTTGGGCCAGATTGTAGAGTTTGAGTATCAGATGACAATGCATATGTTACTTTTGACTACAACAGAGAGATGTATGTGTTAACTTACAATATGAATGAAATAACCTCATCCATAGTGTTAATCAGGAGAGGCCAAGTTACACTGTGTTAACAGACAACACCTACAGCTCCGTGGCTTAAGAAACCAAAAATGCAATTTTCATTCACACAAATTCTGCTGTGGATTTGGGCAATTCTCCAGGATGATTATCCTCCATGTGTTGGCTCAACAATCTGGTCTCTGTGCACCCTACAGCACCTCCCTCTCAACACATGCTACCATGATGCCTGTGGCAAGACAAGAAAGTGCTGGAAGGTTACCCACCTGGAATGAAATGCTTTGCCTTAGGAGAGACACACACATTGTTGCTGCATGCAGTCCATTGGCCTGAATCAATGACAGCCCTATACCTTAAAAAGGGCACAGTCTCCCTGTGCCTGAAAAGAGAGAAGTGGATAATAATGAGCCCTAGTAATGTTAACCACACCCACACTTGCAGAAAATTCACTATGATTCAGAACAAGTTTATATTTACAAACAAAATACAGATATGCATGATTGCTGATATATTATTAACAGAAATTTTCCCATCTGTTGCATTTACCACTTTCAAATAAAGAAAACGTTGTTTACAGTTGATCCACCCACAATACATGTGGAAGAAAGATACCTACTTATTTCCATAATCTGCCTGTTATTATCTCTAGAATAGCATAAACTGGTGTATGTCAAGTGTGACATAGGCTTTGTTGACATGCAGCTGACATGACATTTGGCTTCAGCTGCACACTGCAGTCCAACCATGACAGTTTACCCTCCTTGTTGCACACTGCAGTCCAACCATGACAGTTTACCCTCCTTGTTAGAATGTGATGAGAGAGGAACCCATGCTTACAGAATGAAGCACAACTACGTAATGGGTATACATACAGTCTTCCATATATGATACATTGTTCCATGGTCTCAAAATAGCTGAATTTTACATAGAGTGGAATGTAGAGCTCATAGAATTTAATCAAAAGTGCCTAAACTTTGGAGTCAGCAATGAGTTAGACTCCTAAAGCTACGGACTAATTGCCTGTGACATTGAGCCTCAGTTTCTGCATTTTTAAAATGACATTGATAGCAGAGTTGTAGCAACATGTATTAATGATAATAGCTAAAGTTAATTGGGAGTCTGGTGTCTGCCAAGCACCCACCCACTTTGTTTCCTCCCTCCCTCCCTCCCTCCCTCCCTCCCTCCCTCCCTCCCTTCCTTCCTTCCTCCCTCCCTCTCTCTGTCAGTGGATCTGTCCTCTATTTATCTAATCTATGTAAATCATCAACAGGTATAAGAAAGTGTAGTTAATTCAATTCACATGTAGTAGGAGGGGGCATTCCAGTTTGATCCTAAACTAGGATTTACATGTATCTGATAAATTGAACTGGTAAGTAAAGCCTTAGGGAGCGGATTTATATGAGGGATTTTTTTTTCTGGGGGTGGAAAAGGGTTGTTGAAGGAGAAAAATAATGTGGTTTTATGTGGTATCTAGGACAGAGTCTGCAAAAGGTTGGACATTAGAGTGTTTATCTGAAATTTAGGTATCCTGCTCATGTACCCCAGTCTATTCTATACACAGCTACAAGTGGATGATAAAGGAGTGATGTGCGGAGACTCTGAGACACGAGAACACAAGCAGCACCTGTTTGGTGAACAGGTGACAGAGTTACATAAAAGGGAAAAGCAAAGGTGTCTCCCATTCTTTGGCATAAAGCCCAGTGTGGCCTCAACACTGTGAGAATCATAAGGAGTGCAGGTCTGTTGTAGTCTCTTGAGGGTTTGATGCTTTGAGCACTTTGGACCATAGCATCCTTGGCAGGTAATTATAATAACATCCTACTGGAGAACACCCTCAAAGTGTTATTCTCAAGTGGCTTCCATGATATTCCCAAGGGAGAAAAAAAAATTCAACCAAAGTACAGTGTTGGTGTGTTGATGAGAATGCATGGAATATCCACTGGTATGCTTTGAAATTTATGGGTGACTATGTTGTTAATATCAGATCCATCGATTTTCACTCAGGGCCTGATATGGAGCTCAGAAAATGTTATATTAAAGAACGAAATAGAATGAATAATTGCCCAAATCCTCAAGTTACAGTGGTGCTTCTTGGTGGAGGTAGTACTGGCATTCTAGGTGGGACATGCTTCATTTTGCAGGACTGTCAAGAACATTGCAGGACATTTGGCAACCCCAGCCCTTGGAAATGAATGCCAAGAGTGCACTCCATTCATTCATTGTGGCTATCAAAACACATCTCCTTCTTTCACATGCTCCTTGTCGGGATGCTACTGTGTTGAGATGAAAAATTATTAATCTGATGGGACTAAACATTTCTGTGCTGCCTTGGAACCAGTATTTCTATAGGAAGCCATAAAGCCTCAGTAGAATGGGATCTTTCTCCCACTTTATATGCTGAGCACAATGAGGCTGTGGTTTTCTCTTTTTGCCTTTGCTTACTGCTCTTAAAATCTCATAAAAAGAAGTTCCATTTCCTAAATGCCCGTCAACCAATGGGTGGATAAATAGATTGTGAGATATATATATATATATATCTACCAGATATATATATATATATCTACCAGATATATATATATATATCTACCAGATATATATATATATATATCTACCAGATATATATATATATATCTACCAGATATATATATATATATATCTACCAGATATATATATATATATCTACCAGATATATATATATATATATACACACACCAGGTATATATATATATACCAGATATATATACACACACACACCAGGTATATATATATCTACCAGATATATATATATATATATATATCTACCAGATAGATATATATATACCTGGATGGAGTTGAAGACCAGTATTCTAAGCGAAGTAACTCAGGAATGGAAAAATCTTACGTCATATGTTCTCACTTGTAAGTGGGAGCTAAGTTATGAGGACTCAAAGGCATAAGAATGATATAATAAACTTGGGGACTTGGGGGGAAGTGTGGGAGGGGGTGAGGGATGAAAGATTACACATTGGGTACAGTGTACACTGCTCAGATGATGGATGCACCAAAATCTCAGAAATCACCACTAAAGAACTTATCCACGTGACCAAAAACTACCTGTTCCCCAAAAACTATTGAATTAAAAATAAATAAATAACAAAAATTTAAAAAATAATAAGAAAAAGAAGTTCCACTGGACATCCCAGTGTGCTTGTCCAGGGCAATGATTCTCTGCCAAGATCAACTCAGTGTTTTCCTGAGGAACCCATATTTACTCCGTGACACCACTGATTTCTTGGTCCCTGTTGTCAGAAGACTAGAAGCTTCATTCCATTGGATTCCAACTAGTAGAGACTTTGAAACATGGAGTCAAATTGGAGCCAAAATGTCATCTTTATTTATAGCCCAGTAGATATTAAAGATCAGGGCCCTTTGGCAAAAATAGATTTGGGATCTTTTCTACTTCCTCCAAGTTAGGATTAGGTCCTGACTGTGGGTCTAGCTGATTCTGTAGAGCAGATGCTGAGTACGTGTACTTAGCCGGGGGCTTGTTGGGTCACAGGCTAAGTCATCAGCAGAAAGTAATGGGGAAAGAGAGGCTGTTTCCCTTTAATGTTGGGCCATTCTCCTTGTGAAAACAGGTCCAAATCTACATCAGTTTTCAGGATTAGCATTAACTGCACCTCCTGCTGGGGCGACCTGAGTAAGGGGTAGAAAGGAGTGGAAATTATTTTCTTCATGATCTGAGGTGTGATGGTTAATATTGAGTGTCAACTCAATTGGATTGAGGATGCAGAGTATTGTTCTCCAGTGTGTCTGTGAGGGTGTTGCCCAAAGAGATTAACATTTGAGTCAGTGGACTGGGAGAGCCAGACCCACCCTCAATCTGGGTGGGCACCATCTAATTAGCTGCCAGTGCAGCTAGAATAAAAGCAGACAGAAGAACATGGAAAGACTAGACTGGCTGAGGCTTCCGGCCTTCATCTTTCTTCCATGCTGAATGCTTCCTGCCCTCTAACATCAGACTCCAAGTTCTTCAGCTTTTGGACTCTTGGACTTACACCAGGGGTTTGCCAGGGGCTCTCAGGCCTTTGGCCACAGACTGAAGGCTGCACTGTCAGCTTCCCTGAGGTGTTGGGACTCACACTGGCTTCCTTGTACCTCAGCTTGAAGATGGCCTATTGTGGGACTTCACCTTGTGATTATGTGAGTCAATACTCCTTAATAAACTCCCTTTCATATATACATCTATCCTATTAGTCCTGTCCCTATGGAGAACACTGACTAATAAATACGTGAGGTATAAGTATGGATTATGAAGAAGAAAGATTACTCCCTTTAATACATATGTATTACTTCATTATACCATTACACTTTGTTATTTTCCAATTTTGTCATATAAAACAGGGTCATAAATCTTAGAGAAGTATTTTGCCTAGGCCACCCGGCTAATAAGTGACAGAGCCTGGATTTGAACCTAAGTTTGTCTCACTCTCAAAGCTGTGTGTGTGTATATATAGCATATATGCATGTGTATGTACATATATACTTACATATATAAATATATATCCATATATGTAAATATACATATTTACATATATAAATATACATGTCTATGTAGGTATATATAGTTACACAGATGGAGCTTTTAGTTTTCAATCATCTTGAGACCTCTTAGGATTGGAGATTCAGGCAATTTCATGCCACATACTCTTTAACAAGACACCAGTTGCTTGCTTCAAAGTCTATACATTATGTATTATTTGATATCTTTGCTTCAGATGGCATATTAGTTTGCTAGGGCTGCCATAATGATGTACCACAGACTGGGTGGCTTAAACAACAGACATTTATTTTCTCACAGTTCTGGAGGCCAGAGCCCAAGATCAAGGTGTTGGCAGGTTTGGTTTCTTCTGAGGTCTCTCTCCTTGGCTTGCAGATGGCTGCCTTCTTGCTGTATCCTCATATAGTCTTTCTTCTGTGTGCCTGCATCTCTGTAGTCTATGTGTACAAATTTCCTCTTTTTATAAGGACACCAGTCAGATTGGATTACAGCCCATTCTAACGGCTTCATGTTAACTTAATTACCTCTCTTAATTCCATATCTCCAAATATAGTCATATTTTGAGGTACTTGGAGATTAGGGCTTCAACATACAAATTTTTGGAGGTCATAATCCAGCTTATAACAAATGGGATAATATTAAAACATCAGAAATACCACCTAGGGAGTGGATGGGGAAGAAGAGCTGAAAAAAAAAACAAAACCCTTATAGTGTTTCACCAAATCTCTGTTGTAGAAAAGAAAAGTAGAATGAATTAGTCAAGATCACACAGGTATAATAGCCCATTGATACTATAGGCCATCATCCATACTAGGGTCTTCTAGATTTTGGCTGGAATAATGTGTGTGGGATGTGTGTGTGTACTGGGGGAGGTATTTAGATGATTTAGATAGAGAAAATAGAATGGGATGTGTGTGTGTGTGTATGCGCGTGTGGGTGTGTGTATACTGGGGGAGATATTTAGATGATTTAGATGGAGAAAATAGAATGAATCAGGCAGGAGAGAAAGATGCCTTTCTGGATCATTTATTTGTATCTTATACTTAAAAATAAAAATACTCTTCTTTCTTTTGCTTCTCGAAACTCCAAGCAACAAAACTGCCAATTTTAATCTAGACCACTCGGTGGCAGTAAAACAGAAATGTCTGCAAAGAAAGCAGAAATCCCTTCAGAATTATAATAAGTTTTATAGACCAAGACAACTGCAGTTGTAAAACATGGTGTATCAATTGGCATATTTGCTGATCAAATCTTTACAAGGTTCGAATAGGCTCATAAATACTGGTTTCTCTAGTTTGGCCTACTCATGCTTCATGCTTCTGTTTAGCATGACTTGGATGCTGGATATCTTGGAGGGATGGAAATCCAGCAAATTGTTGAAATATCAAAGCAATATGCCACTGCCAATTTGTTTTCCTGTGATTGAGGGAAAATATACGTACATGCTTCGATTAGAAGTACTACCCAAACAAGCAGAATCTGCTGCATTCAAAGCTGAGCTCATTTCCCATGCACAGCATAGCCCAGGCTGGAGTTAACCAACAGCTAAATCATTTTGCTACTTGATTTTTATAAGTGAGTTCCAACTCGCTTACTATTCCCACAAGAGTCTGATTATGCAGGGATATTTTCATTTTTATAAGTGGTTATTGGCTGATGATAAAATCAGGCTTCATGATAAATACATAAAATTGTAGGGCAGGAGGTGACATCCAAACACACCTCTCATCAAAATGTTGGTCTCATGTGGTCGGTTGAAAAGAAGGCTGAAATGGTTTATGACTGTCAACATTGAACAATGGGGAAACTGAGGTCTAGGTCTTCAGTGACTTGCCCAAGGACATCTGACTAGTAAGTGGCCTAGTGGACTGTGAAACCCCGTTGTCCACAAAGTGTTGGATGGACTATAGAAGTGGTTACCTTTAGAGACTCATGAGAATGTTTGGCTACCAAAGCATGTTTAGCAGCTAAGCTCCTCTCTGCTTTGTTTTTGTAGATGGGCACACTGATCGTTTTGGAAACAAGGATGGAAGTCCTTGGAAAGATCGGCATTAATCATGTGGTAGCTGCTTATATTATTAGACAAGGATCTTATCTCTTGTCAATTAAGAGATTCATTCATGCTTTTCCCCCCAAGATTTCTATAGACTCTTTCTTTCTTACCAAATGTCTTTCATCTTCTTCCTCAAAGCTGGTTAATTGATGCTCTTTGCTCAACCTAGAATTCTCTACCTTTTTGTTTTCACCTAGCTAAATTCTGTTGAGACTGAGTTTGACAGCACTTTTATATATTCCTCAAACACTCTTTCTAAGTACTTTCCCCAGGGAAGAACAGTCCTTTTTTATTATTGGTTGAATGTTCTTTCTATACAAGGCAGACACCGTATATTTTGTTAGTAGCATGTGCATGAAAGTGCTTGGCACATAGGAGATCCTTAGATAATTATTGTATGAAAGAAGAGAGTGATCCTACCCTTTGCTTTTATACAATGTTACTTTTTTTGAAGAGCAATTATTTATTCAGGAATTCTAAATGATATAAAACATTTAATGTATACTATGCAGGATGTATCTTATTCCTTTATAATCATTTAAAATAACTGATTTTATTTTTAAGAAATACCTCTGTAATTATAAATGTATATATCATCTGTATATCTTTCAAGCCTATGTAAACTTTATTGCTTATTTTGTTCTACTAATAACTCTTAATCCTCTGCTATATGCCCAACACTATATTAGGTGTTTTTACAGATTGGTGTTAATCTTCAAATCTAAGCAATTCAAATGTAACTAGAGCTCAGAAAATAAATAACTTGTCATGTAGTCAAAATGTAGAAAATCTAGATTCACATCCAGACCTTCTTCCTCAGAAGTTCATGTATTTCCACTCTCTAGAAGTGAATGAGTCTCAGAGAGTGGCTTTGACATGCCTAAAGTAAGGCCATGCCAGAGCTGAGTGGTAGAATGAATCTGGGATTTCTGGCTTTTACCTAGATGAGAATTCTCTTTTCTGCATCATACCTTCTTCTCTGTATGATGAGAAAAGAAGGTAAGAACTCATTTTCATGCAGCTGGAATAATTTGGCAGATTTCAAGATTTCATGAGGCCCAGACTTTCCACTGGTTCTATTTACGTTGAGAGATGCATTCATTTGGCAACTGCCTGGGATCCATGTGAACAGCTGCTAACTTGTGGTGTCATATCAGCTCATAGATCTCTTGGTCCTCCTGACTTGAGCCGCTGCAGAAATTCAAGAATGGGAATTACAGATTTTGTAATCCATTTCTTTTGTACATAAAAATGCATTTTCCTGCTCTTCCATCCCTTAGTGATTCTCTTCCTAAGCCATTTTGCTGTGCATTTGTCAAGGAAATTTGCCATGTTTCAATTTGAAGACAACTCGAGTAAGAGAAAGCTAAACCACAGAATGTATTGAAAAAATACACTAGAAACAGTTTAAAAATGGGAATGGCTGTATTTGCTCTGTAACAAGCGAGCATTTTAAAAATCAATAAGAAGAAGAACAACTAATGGCAATAATGTCTTTCGTGACTCATAGGGATATTTAAGAGTAAAATGATGTAATTGATGGCAAACACTTTGAAAAATAAAAGCACCATGCCGCACAAGATATTATGATTATTATACGATTGTCCTTAAGCACAGCTAAATGTGAGCCTCTGTCTCCCTCAGGACCAAACGTCACCATTGATCAGTCATTTGTACAATTCCCAGAGTGTAAAGGATGTGTGCAGGGCTCCAGGCTCTTCCGCTTGTTCTGATCTCTCCATGGGGGTGTTCAGTGGATGTGGCCAAGAGTAAGTCACAACCTCTTTGGGCTTTTGTTCCTATGCCTTTGAGATGAAAATTAGTATTATCAATAATGGCTACCCACAGAGAAGTTCTATGTCCAAGGCACAAAGCATCCTTGGTTGATTATTTCATTTAATGTTTACAATGGCTCTGCAAAGTGCGTTATTTATAGATCAGGAAAATGAAGCCCAGAGCAGTGAAATATCTAGGCCAAATCACACAGCTAGAATTTAATGAGGTGTCTGTAGAAATCCACAATTCTTAACTTCAGGCACACTCAGTGTAGTGGATTGTGTAGTCATAGATTTTACTCTCCAGTATGATTGTTTCTGTCCTGTCTTCTTTGGAGAATTGCTCCTCCACTGGAACACATGCCACAGTATTCTGATAGGGCTGCCAATTTCATGTACGGTACATGTGACTGCATGGGAAAAATGTGACCAGGCTTAGTCAGTTACACAAATTCTCTTATTCTAGTCCTATTAATTGACTTGAGGGTTAGGGATAGGATGAAGTCTGGCCAATGAGAATCTGTGGGATTTATAGATGCAGAAGTGGAGACAAAGACTTGCTGTCTCCTATAGTGTTGCTAGCTAAGATTAGGTAAACCTCAAGGAGACTGTTTACAAAAGAAAGGATAAAGCCAAAGGCAAGAGATGGAGAGCACTCAGATTGCATCCTTTAAGCCCTAGCAACTTGTGAGGAGAGATCTGTTTCATCCTTCCTAGTTACTGGAGTCAGTAAATACGGTTTTTAAAGCTAATTTGAGTTAAGTTTTTGGCACTTGCAGCCAAAAAGTGTCTGATTAATAAAATACATAACAAAGTACATTTATATATGTTATCTTCCTCGGTTCTCACAACAGTCTTATGCCCAATATTCTTATGAATAGCTCTTTCTAATAGAAATAAAATAAAGAACTAGCCAGTCTTGGGACACATTTGATATTCATACTCAGTGCCTGTGCCTCCAGAGATCTTGCATTTTACACAATACCTTGCTAGATATGGAAATACAGCCAGACCTAAAAGCTCATGTGGATGAGCTTTGATCTTACTGCCAAACCGAGGTAGATAATCACTTGGAATAATTTCTTATTTATTTTGTATCATCCAAAAAAGAGTATTCTTGCTATATAGTTTTCTGATTATTAAGGCACATACATGTAAAAGTTCCAAACTTATTTTAATATTATCTTGATTTAAATCTAAAATATATTTTCCACTTTCATGCCTTCTTGAAAACATAACTCTAATCATGATTGTATTTTTATTTTGATGACCCAGCTCATAATTTCCTGTTATAACAGATAACACATTTACTGTGTTGCTAATTTAATTGGTTATCTTTCCATTAGATTATAAAGTACATGAAAGTAGGCAGCATGCTGTCATCATCATCATAATAATGACAATAATAATAACATTAATAATAGTCCCTTTTGAATTCCTAGTTCTTAGACCAGTATGTGGTAACTGATAGATATTAACTAAAGGTTTGATTAATAAATGCATGTATAAGTGGACCTGAGTAATTATAAACAAACCTCAATAATTATAATGTAATTCAATTACTAAGGTGTTAGAGGCTATGGAATTATGAAAGATTGGCCATTTAGCCTCAGGGTGCTAAGCTTTTTGTGTTTTAGTCTGCTTTTTAGAGTTGCTCATATTCCTCTCTCTTTTTTCAGATTCCAGATGTTCATACCAGTTTGCAATATGCAATGTGGGCCTGATTTAGGCAGTGAGTGGAAAGGGAAGACAGGTCTCAGTATCCAACAGATTCTGGTTCTGCCCCTTAATATCTGTATGACCTTGAACACACCCCTTAACATCTCTCTACATCACTGTCTTCCTCTGAAACATGAGAACCAATAAGCTACCCCATAGACATGTGATGAGGATTCATTGAGATAGGCCATAAAAATCACCCAGTAGGTGAGCAACAAACATGTTTTTAATAAGAATTTTCAGAAGGGCAGGAAACTGAATACCTGAAAAGAGGTATGTGAAATCTTGAATACTGGCTTCATGAAAGATGTGCATGGGGGGGATAAAGATGTCACACAGAGGGGTCTTCAGTGTGATCTTGGATACTACAGGTGTCAGAATAGGGAGATCTTTCTCAATGGTGGAAAGAAACTTTTAAGGTTTGCTTTGAAAGCAAAGGGACATTTTTCTTTAGTTACTAGCACTGAGCACATAGACAAATATGATTTTAGAGCCCCATTGTCTTCACCTGCAAGTTCAAACCCTGAAAACATTTCTCCTAGTGACCCATTTCCAGACTGCTGTGTAGGAAACTACGTTGTTGTATTATGTTTTACTGCTTTTCCTTTATCAAGTGACAACTTCACTGTTCATCAGAGATAAAGGAAGATAAATATTAAGAAACAAATTTGAGAAGTGGGAGAGCCTTAGGTCTTGTTATTTATTTAGCCTTGCATATGTCTACATAGATAACAACTGACAATTGTGTTAGCAGTAGAGGATGGAAGTTAAAAATATGGTCTGGAAGTCTAACTGAAGAAAAACCCAGAGCCTGATACTTAGGAGTTATTGGACTGCTGAAATTTTATATTTTGTGTGCAAGTACAGGTTATGTCAGTGAATCTGATAGCTAGCATAGCAGAGACTGCTCAAGGTGTATACATCCTTGGCTGTATTGGCAGTTTCTGGTTCTATTTCCCTCTTTTATTTCCTTTCGACCTGTCTTTCAGTCCTCCTTGTATATTTCTTTTTCTCTTTCCTTCTTTACCAAACATATTTTGAGAATCAATCACATCCCTACACTTGAGCAATCAAAACTTGTTTACAGTACTGTCACATATATTCATTTTGTTTCTACATAGTTTTCATTTTGCCAAACATATTAGTATACACTTATTTTGTTTTATTTTAATACATGTTATTACATATAATATATACACAGAAACATGTACACATCACAAGTGAAGAATAATTTTCAAAAAGTACAATGCACCTATGTAACTAGCAGCAGGACCAAGAACGAAGAGCATTTCCTGTATACTCCTTGTGCTGCATCCTAGTCAAAGGTCACTGCTCTTCTGAGTTCCAACAGCTTGAATTGGTTTTGCCTGTTTTTGAAATTGAATAAGTGGAATTGCCTATTGTATACTTTTAGGTAAGGTTTATTTTACTCAGTTATGTTTGTAAGATTACTCGGGTTGTTGCATGTGGTATAGTTTGTTCTTTATTGTTGCTGTATTCAATTTTTTATCCATTCTCCTGTTAAAAAGCATTTGGGTTATTTCCAGTTTTTTTGGGATCTATAAATTATTGTGTTTGTTTTTCGATATACAGATAAAACAGAAACACATTTCTGTTGGCTGTATGCTTAGGAGCTGAATTGCTGGGTCATAGAGTACCTGTTTTGTTGGCTTTGTTAGATACTGCCTATGGGTTTTTCAGAGTAGTTCAAATAACTTACTCTCTCCCCAGCAGGTAGAAGGTAGCTCCACATACTCAACAAAGTTTGGTAAGGTCAGAAATTTTATACCTAGTCTATTGGATGTGTAATGTACTGTTTTTGTTATTTTAATTTGCATTTTTAAATGTTTAATGAAGTTGAGTACCTTTTCATATGCTTATTGGCTATTTGGACATCTTTTGTGAAATGCCTATTTTGATTGTGCCTCTTTCTTCTTGATTTGTAGTTTATTATTATTATTTTTTAATCTGGATATGGATTCTTTGCTATATATATGTCAAATATATTCTCCTACTCTGTAACTTGACTTTTTCTTTTTTAAATTAATTATTTATTTTATTTTTTCCTTACCCATAGCCCCCTGATTTGACTTTCCACTCTTTAAATACTCTTTTGGTATATAAGAGTTACTAATTTTTATATAATTTATAATTTCTGTTATTGATTTTGTATTGTTTAATAAATCTGTGTTTCTTACCCTAAGATCATAAAAGTATATTCTTTTGTTTTCTTCTAGAAGCTTTAATGTTCTACATTTTCATATTTAGATCTGTATTTCACTGATAATTAGTTTTTGTTGCTTCTTGTTCAGAAACAATTGAGATTTACATTTTTCAATAATAATTTCCAATTGAGTCAGTAGCATTTATTGCAAAGATCATTATTTTTAAACTACACTTCAGAGAAATAACTGTCAAAATCAATTGACCATATATTATATTTTTGAACTCGCTCTTCTGTTCTAATTATGTATCTATCAACACACCAATACTTCAATGTCTTAATTAATGTAGACATACACAAGTTTTGAAAACTCATGGGTAAATCTCCCAGTATTGTCTTTTTTCACAATTGTCTTTGCTATTCTTAACCTTTTGCATTTCAACACAAATTTTAGAATCAGATGGTCTTTTTTTCACAAAACAAATTAATAATTTTTGCTGGGGATGTTGAGTGAGATAGCATGAAATCAATAGATCAATTTTGAGGGAAATTAACATTTTTATAGTATGAGTTGTTAAATCCATGAACATGGTATATCCCTCCATTTATTTTGATTTTCTTTAATTTGTCTCAGTAACATTTCACAGTTGTGACTGTGAAAGTCTTGCCTCTTTCATTAATTTTTTTCCTAGGTATTTTGTGTCTTTGATGTTATTGTAAATGATAGTATTTTCTAAAATTTTACTTTCCATTTACTACTGTTACATGAAAACTATTATGTAATTAATTAATATCAATCTCACTTGTTTCACTTGCTAGTTCTATTTGTATATTCTTTTAGATTGCCTATTGCATACAATCACGATACATGTAAGGGCATTTTAATTTCCTCTATAGCAATTCTTACTTCTAATTTTTTTCTTGCATTATTGTACCAGCCAAGTCAACAAGTACAATATTAAATACAAATGGTAATATCAGGTATCCTTGTTTCATTCACAATTTTAGGGAGAAAGTTTTCAGTATTTCACTCTTAAGTATGATATTTGATATAAGTATTTAAAAAATATTATTTGTCCCATTAAGAAAGTTCACCCTATTCCAAGTTTGCTAGGAGTTTTTAGAATAGAATGTTGAATTTTATCAAATGCTTTCCTCTGTTGAGATTACCATATGATTTTATTTTTTATTTCATTAATGTGCTGACTTAAATTGATTGAACTAAAAAAAACCCTACTTGGCTTTGTTGTATTATCATTTTTGCATAACATTGGATTGGGCTTGTTAATATTTTATTTATGATTTTTATATGATCTTGAGAGAGATTGCTCTGACAATAATACCTTTGCCAAGTTGTTGTATCAGGGTTATTCTGGCCTTATAAAGTTAACTCACCTTTTCTGTGTCTAGAAAAATTTGTAGAAGATTGATAATATTTAATTCTTAAATATGTGGAAGAACTAACCAGTGAAGCTATCTGAGCCTAGAGATTAATGGAATGCTTTAAATTAGAGATTTAACTTTTTTTTAATAAATATAGATTATTTTCTACTTATTCTTTTGTCAAAAGAGTGTAGGAGTTTTTAGAAAATAAATTTGGCAATTTTATTTAAACTTTAACATTTATTGCCATAAAGTTATTCATAATATCCTCTCATTATCTATCTTTTCAAAAAGTATGCTTTTTAAAAAAGGGTAAAAAATGTATGTTGTAATATACTCTTTTTTATAACTAGTTATCCTCTTTCTCTCTCTCTTTGATCAGTCTTGCTAGATGTTTATTCATTTTTAATCTAATCATTTTTGCTTTATTTTCTCTATTGTATTTTTTCATTTCGTTATTTTCTGCTCTTTTTTTTAAATCTCCTTCCTTTTACTTCTTGAATTAATTACTTATATCACTGAGTTTCGGCCTTTTAAAATTTCTTTTCTAATATGTGCATTTAACCCATTTTCCATTTGCCCCAAGAATACTCACTAGTGGCACTTGCGGTTGCAGCATTTACCCTGAGATAAAATGGTGTGACAAGAAGGAGGTGACAATGTTGTCAACATTCCACAATATACTGTGATTGAAGTAGACAACAGAAATGGAAAGAAAACTAAGAAGCCATATGTCACTGTGGATTATAACGAGAATATGGGAGCAGTGGACTTGGCTGATCAGATGCTCACTTCTTATCCAATGGAGCACAAAAGGCACAAGGTTTGATATAAGAAATTCTTTCACCACCTTCTAAACATTGCAGTGCTGAACTCCTACATCAAGAAGGACAATCCTGAACACACGATGAGCCATGCAAACTTCAGAATGACCTTGATGGAAAGAATGCTGGAAAAGCATCACAAGCCAAGGCAACAACGTCTCTGAGGTCCTCTGTGTTCTGCTGGTGTCACATCTCTTCGCCTGTCTGGAAGACATTTCCCCAACAGCATGCCACCAACATCAGAGAAACCGAATGCAGCTGGTGGCTGCAAAGTTTGCTGCTGGCACAACGACGAGAATGCCAGATCACCTTTTGTGCAGAATGTGATGTTCTGCTTTGTGGTGTTGTGTGCTTTGAAATTTACCACATGAAAAAAAAGTTATTAAATAGTGATCATCATATACATTTCTGTTACATGAGGATTAGTGAACAGTTCTGTTTAGAAATAATTCTAAGAACAGTTTTTATATTTTATTTTCACATTGAAAATCAGTCAGACTTCCTTCACTCTCAAAGAGCATATTTACATAAAAAGAAATGAGCACTGGCAGCAAGCTGCCCTTTTTTTTTTTTTTCTGAATGGGAAGGATACACATTTTCATCTAAGCCTAATTTAGCAGCATCCTGCAAATTTTGTATATTATGTTTTATTATAATTCAATACAAAATATTTTCTAATTTCATTTGTGACTTATTCTTTGACACAATGGCCATTTAGAAATATTTTGCATCATTTCTAGTTTTAGGGGTTTTCTATTTAGTCTTTTTGTTATTGATTTCTAGGTATAAAACAGTGACATCAGAGGAGATATTCTGTATGACTCTAATTGTTTGGAAGTTGTTGAGATGTGTTTATGGTCTAACATATTGCCAAGTTTGATAAATGTTCTATGTACACTTAAAAAGAAGGTGTATTCTGTCATTGCTTTCACTTGCAGTGAACTAATTTGTCAATTAGTTCCAATGTGTTATTTGTGTTATTCAAATCTTAATCTTTTCTTACTGATATTTTTGTCAGGCAATACGTCAATTATTAAGAGAGTTCTGTTAATATTTCTATGATTGTAGATTTATTTCTCCTTTTACTTGTGTCAATTTATATTTCATACATTGTGAAGCTATGCAGTTGAGTTCATTTTAGTAAGCGCAAATTATTTCCTTATTTCATGAAATAGACTTTTAAATTTTTATCAATGTGTTTGCCTTAAAGCCTACATTGTCTGACTTTGGCATGACTACATAAATTTTTTTTTAATGTTTGCATCATATATTTTTAAAAATTGTGGCAGTAGCTACTTAGCACTTACTCTTCTAGAGTGCCAAAGCATTCTACTGAGTGCTTATGAAGGCACCTTGTACAGTTTTCTTTTAATTGACTTGTGGAGCAGGCAGGAAGTGTGGGGAAGTTAGTAGTTCTCCAGGTGCAGTCTTCCACCACTGAGGTATGGAAGTTTCGAGATAAATACCCCAGCTTCCTAATGTCTCAGCTGAGATAACTGTGTTATACATTTTATATCACCTCTCAGTTGTCTATCGCAGAATTCAATTACAGTAGCCTGAAGAATTAAACTGTTCATTAGTGCATCCTGTATTCCTTCCTTTCTCTGTCTGATTTTTCCAGTCCCCTGCATATGATCCTGGCATAACCTAATATTTAACTATAATATTTGCACTCAAATTCTTGTGTCAGAGTCTGCGTCTCTGGAATTCCAGCATAAGAAGCCATCCTTTTACTCATCATCTGTCTATGTCTTTACATTTAAAGAGTGTTTCTTACAAGGAGCACGTTGTTACATTTTGTTTCATCGAATTTAACAATCTTTGTTTTTAATTGAAATGTTTAGTCCAATTATATTTAATGCATTTACTAGTATATTTGTTTGTTCCACTTTCTCTATCATGTTTATTATTTTACTATTTTGACTCAATTAACTGATTAGTTATTCATTATTTTATCAGGCTTTTAGTGGATATCCTAGAAATTACAACAAAAATTCTTAACTAATTATGGTCTAATATAAATTAGTATTTTACTAGTTTCTGGACATTGCTAAGATTTAGAACATTTATATCATGTTTGCTGTCTTTCTGATGTTTTTGGTGTGAAGCAATATAACATATACATTTTAGATTTCACATAACATTATTACTGTCTTGTAAAGATAATATTTATTTAGGTTTATCTACTTATATAACTTTTTTCATCACCCTTAATTCTTTCCTACATTTTCATTTCATTGTTCGAGATGATTTTCCTGCTGTCTGAAGAACTACTTTTAGCATTTCTTACAGGGGTTTTACTGACAAAAAATTTTCTAAGGGTTTGTTTCTTTGCTTGTATTTTTGCTTTGCTTTTTTCTTCTTTATGTAAGTAATATTGAGGATTAAGTTACATTCAGGAGCACAAATTTTAAGTGTTCAACTTGAATTTTTACACGTGTGTTACTGAAGTCAAGGTTTCAAACATACATAGCACTCCAGTAAGCCCCCTCATACTTCCCACAGAAGTAGCTACTATTCTGTATTCTCCTACCATAAGTTAGTTTTGTCTGTTCTTGAACTTCATATAAGTGGAGTCATGTAATACGTACTTTTGTTTCTGGCTAGGACTGTGATATCCATCTATATTTTATAAATAGTGGTAGTTTATTTTTCTTTCTTGCAGTGAGGTATCTCACCATACAAATATAAAACAATTTACTTATTTATTCTGTTATTGATAGACACTGGTTGGTTTTCAATTTTGGCTATTAAAAAGAAACTTGTGATAACTATTCTTGTACATATTTTTTGGTAGGAAATAAATAGTTATTTCTGTGGGTACCAAGGATAGCTTTCATCTTAAGTGGATTTTTTTACTGATTTTACATTTGGGGATTGATAGCTATTTCCCTTCAGTACCTTAACAATAACATCTCTATAGTCCTAAAGCTTCTACAGTTTCTGAAAAACCAGCCATCAGACTTACTGATTCTTTGAAAGTAAACGTGTTTTTTCTTCTTGCTGATTTCAAAATGTTTTTGGTTTCAGATTTTAGTAGTTTTGCTATGATATGCCTAGGTGTGGTTTTCTTTGTATAAATACTGGTTTAATCTGAGGCTTAATGTCTTTTATAAATTTTTGGCAATTTTCAGCTGTAACTTTCAAATATTGCCTTTGACTCTCTCTCTCTGCTCCCTTTATATGACTCTAATTATATATACATATATAGAGAGAACTATATATAATTTATATTACAATATGAATTAGACCTTTTAATTATCTCTCATATATCTCTCATATTTTCTGAATTTTCCAGCTACTTTGCTCTTCTTTCTTTGGCTTGAATTAGTTTCTGTTGACCTAATTCCTGGTTAACTGTTGAGTCCATATTGAATTCTTAATTTATATTATTATATTTCTTAGCCATAGAATTTAATTTTTTTTATAGGTCCCTGTTCTCTGATTGCATTCTCTATCTTGTCATCTATTTGTCTGAAACATATTACTCACAGTTATTTTCAAGTTTATGTCTGATAACTCCCCAAACTAGGTCATCTCTGGTTCTTTTCTATTATTTTTATTTTTCTCTGAGTCTTGCCTGTTGATTTGTCTGGCATGTTTAATTGAATGCCAGACACTGTGTATGGGAATTTATAGAATCTCTGAGTGATGTCATTTTCCTCCAGAGTGAGTTCCCCATATCCCCAAGACTGTAAATAGAGGACAGATCACTTTAATACAGTCTAGGACTGGGGGATGACTAGAAGCTAGGTCGTGACTTCAGAAAGCTACCATTTGCCTCTGGTTCATCCCATATCTATAGTGTAGCCTCCCAGGACATTATTTATTTGATTTTTACATCATATCAGATAGGATTTCTTTGTTGCAAGTAAAAAAAAAAGTAGCTTAAACACAGTAAGTTTATCATAGAGAGATAGGGTGGTTCTTGGGCTATTAACTCATAGACTCAGCCTGTCATTGAGCAACTGATCTACGCTGACTTCTCTGAAGTTATCTTGGCTTTATTTTCATGACTCTTACTTGGCTGCTGTAGTTTCAGGTGTCCCATGTGGCTGACTATATCCTGAGGAAGGAAAGTGAAGTTTATCTTCAGGGGGCTCTATGTGAGAGTGAATAATCCATTTGTTAGATACTTCCTTCCCCCAAAGCCTTGCTTTCATATGCCTCTTTGTCCAGAAGTTTGTCACATACCAATGCCTAGACCAGATTCTGTCAGAGGAAGTGGAATGACCATGTTTGGCTTAGACCGATCATGATTTTCCACTTAGGCTTGGGGAGGATTCATTTCTCTGAACACATAGCTAGGGCACATATGAATATGAATACCTAGGCAAAATTGGGGCTTGATGAACTAAGAAAGAGGGAATAATAGGTATCTGTCACAAAGTGAAATAGCTGTTTTTCACATACAGCCATCCTATGTAAGACATATTGCCATCTATCTAGTTTTAATTAGGAGGATTCCATGAGTAAGAGAGTTTAAAAACCCATCACAAGGTTAAGTATATAGTGGCAAAATCTGTATTCAAACAAATATTTTCTAATTCCAAATTTGGGGCTCTTAATTATGCCCTACAGTCTTCTGACTGGGATGTATGTTGTATTTTTTATAACTATTCCTACAAGATGTTCACATATACAAATTGAAGTAGACAACACAGTTTTTTTCTGGCTTTGTCAGACCTCAACAGATGCATTACAAATAGTTAATCAGGGTAAGAATGTTGTGTGGAGAATGTTACTTACCTATAGATTTAGGATTGCCTAAGACCTTAATTTATATGTATGCATGGCCATTCCTCAATAAGTAATGGACAAAAGCCACCTAAGTCCTAGGCATTATAAGGTGTTGCTATGAAGCTGAAACCACAAGGGACCTATTAGATTTTTCACTTCCATTAGCAAATATGATTTGTGTCCACTCCCCATTGCCATTCATAATTCTGAGTTCCACTCTACTTAAAATTTTCCATCTCAGCTTCAGCTGAATGGTTTTAGCAAGAATCTGTTTCTTTGAGGAGTACCCTTAGAGTGATGGATTAGCAGCCCCAACAGCGTTTACTAAGTTGGGAGCACATTAGCCATTTCCATTTCTCTCCTCCAGAATGGAGGTGGAGAGCTCTGCCATTAGAAGTGGAGAGCAGGCAGCTCTATGACAAAGCAGCTGCAACCACCACAAGTGCCGCCCTTGAGAGGAGCTCATGCCATGAGGTCAGAGGAACAGCATTTTATGTTCCTTTGTAGAATAAACAGAATATTTTTATGAGAAACAAATCTTCCATCTATGATCCGGTTCCCATTAGTGGGTCAAGGCAAGAGCAAACCAGAGAGACTTAATTTACTTAGGAGACATTCAGTATAAATACTATATTCCCTTGTGTGGTGTTCTTGTTCTGTTAGCCTTAACACATGCAAACAAAGATGACTTACTCAAAGTTTTGATATGCCCAAAGACCATTCTTCTTATAACTGGTGTTCCTTTTAGGCTGGGTGTCAAGAAGATCCAGAAAGTCTGCATTAACACAGCATGTATTTTCACTCCATTAAACTACTATACAATCTGTAATTGCTAACCCCACAAGTTTTAAAGTTTACCTTAACATTTGTAGGAAGCAGATGGTTTCCATACACTGCCAACCTGTTGTTACCAAAGCATTTTCCAAGAATTGTTTTCCAACCACAGTCACTAGCATAATTAACCTTTCTATGGATTGAATAAACAAGAAACTGGTCACGAATCTGTAAGAAAGACAAATGTACCATTCAAGACTTAGCCTCAGAACAAGCTCCAGGACACACATGAAAAACCACACACAGTGTGATGCATAATCCACTTCTGGTATTTTTTTTTCCAGTGACCTCTATTCTTTCCCTGTTTCTTCCCCCATTTCATAGCGTACCCTCCCTTTCTAGCCATGTGGTCACATTTACCTATTTTTATCTGCAGCCATGGATTTGGCTAGGTCCTAAGTTTTTTTTTTTTTTTTTCTGTCTGTGGATTTCCTCTTCCTTCACCACAATGTTCCTGGCCTTTCAACTCTCTTCTTTGCCTTGTTTTCTGATATTAATGTCTTACCAATTTATCTTTCTCTCTCTCATTTACATTCCATTGTTTCTTCTTTTTTTTTTAACATTTTTTTGTTGTTGTTGGAAACAATTACAGATTCATAGGAAGTCACACACACACAAAAATATAGAGAGGACTCACGCTTGCCTTTCATCTAGTTTATTTCCCAATGGTTACATCTTGCATAAGTATACTACTGCTATATAGAAACCAGGTAGTTGGCATTGGTACAATCCACAAAACTTTTCAGGTTTTATCAGTTTACTGTACTCATTTGTGGTGTGTGTGTGTGTGTGTGTGTGTGTGTGTCTTCTCCTGAGTTTCAAAGGGGCAAAATTTTTAGTCTTCTGCTTGACTTTAGAATGGCTCAGAGTCAGATTCAATAAACATTCATTAAGAGTATGTATGAGACAGTCTCATATAATTAACATGAGCTTGTTGAGTGGATCTGCACATTAACTCTTTCAAGAGGAGATTATATTATTCATAATACCTGTGATGAATTAAAAACCTTCAGAGAAGTGATATTCCCAAGGTCATCTAAATAATGGTCAGAATTTAAGTCTAGGGCCCACCATGCTGCTCACCTATTCCTGCAGCCTCGGTACAGATCGTAACTTCTGTTTTCATGTGCTTTATTGCTACACTTTGAATGTTTGTCCTTTCCAAAACTCATGTTGAAATTTAATTGCCATCGTAACAGTATTAAGAGGTGGGACCTTTAAGAGGTGATTAGGCCATAAGAGCTCCATTCTCATAGGCAGTGTTGATAACATTATAAAAGGGCAAATTTGGTGTCATCTTACCCTGTCTTTGCTCTTCTGCCTTCTATCATGTGATGCCACAGCAAGAAGGCCCTCCCCTTATGCTACTGTCTTAATCTTGGACTTCCCAGCCTCTGGAACTGTGAGCTGATAAATGTCTGCTAATTATAAATTACCCAGTCTCAGGTATTCTGCTAGAGCCTCACAAAATGGACTAACATATCCATTCACAGCCTGAAGTAGACTGTGCTCTTGTAGGGGCCCCCTACATTTTAGCCTCCCTGATTGCTGATTCATAGCTTAGACTTATCTCTGACCAGTGTGCTCTTTGCTTCTCTGATGCTGATATCCAATGAGGGTCAAGATGTCTAATGGCCCATGGTGGTATTTTAAGTGTGGCTTAAATATTGGGAGCAACAAAGGAGGCTCTTCCACACAGGTAGTTTGTTGATCTCCCAGCATCTTGAGGTAGGTAGCATTGATATTACCACACCAATTCCATAGATGAAGTAATTGAGACTGAATTGATAAAAATCAGAATGTTATCCAGAAATGGAGCCTAGAATAAAACTCAGGTCTTTTGATTTCTGGTCAACGTTCTTCATAGTGTTTCATATTATAGTGTGGTAGGATATTTTTCTCTCCATAATCATAAGTATGATTTACTGAGCATCTTCTGTGTATCATGAACTATACTAGGCTTTTTACATGCATTGCCTCAGTTTATTCTCATGGCAGTTCTATAGGGTTATTGTTATTATTATCCCTATTTTACATATGAGGATGCACGCTCAGAGAGCATAAGTGACTTAGTGTAAGTCTCAGAGTTAGCAATCAACAAAACCAGAATTAGAATCTGAGGCTGTCTGACTCCCAATCTGAACTTGTATTATTTTCTATTTTTTGAGACAGAATCTGGCTCTGTCAACCAGGCTAGAGTGCAGTGGTGCGATCTTGGCTCATGGCAGCCTCTACTCCCAGGCTCAAGGAATCCTCCCACCTCAGCCTCCCAAGTAGCTTGGACTACAGGCAAGTGACACCATGCCCAGCTAATTTGTTTTTAATTTTTTGTTGAGATAGGGTTTCACCATGTTGGCCAGGCTGGTCTCATACTCCTGGACTCAAGCAATCCATCCACCTTGGCCTCCCAAAGAGCTGAGATTACAGACATGAACCACCATGCCCGGCCACTTCTTGCTTTAAAGGAAACAAATAATTGTGTAATTTTCTTCCCGACAAAAAGCAAAACAGAAAAGCTCAAATTGTGTGATATAGGGGAGATATTTCAAACTGTGCATTAAAATTTGCATTATTTATCAATATTTAAAAATTGGGGGATTTCATATAAAAAAACTGGATTTTTATCTTTTTATGATAAGTCAACACAACTGGCCACAGAGTCTTGGTCTGCCCTTGAGTCTATGCTTCCTGGTTTGCCACAGTTCCCTGCCAGCCTCTTCCCTCATGTCTCTACATCCTACAGGCATGTGGGTTGTTGCTGACTCTTCATATAATGGATCAAAGGAATGGAATTTGGAGTAGAAGTCCTGGATTTAAATCACAGTTCCAGCATTTCCTGTGAGCCTATGATTCTTAAAACATAATCACAGTTTCCTTAACATTTCTTCCCATCTAATGATAGGCAACTTTTTTTCTCCCAACAATATAAAATCAAGAAAAACATAATAGAGTTTTTGATTTCTCCCCTTGAATTTGTGTGAGCTTTTGACTTCTCTGATTAATAAAATATGGGAGAATTATTACATGACTCTCAAGGTTAGATCACAAATGCCATGCTGCAGTACTATCTTTGGGAACTAAGCAGTATACTACCCAGTTCATTGGAACACTATCTTCTGGAACTAACTAGGAACCACTGTTCTTAAGAGGCCATGTGGTGATACTCTGGTCTAAAGTTCCAGCTGAGTCTAGCCTTCCAGACATCCCAGCCAAGGCACTAGACATATGAGTGAGGCCATCCTTGGTGCTCTAAACCAGACCATCTGCCAGGTGAATACCACTGAGAGAGCACAATGCTACTTGGAGAAAAGTCACACAGCTGAGCCCTGCTCAAATACTTAACTGCAAAATCATGAGATATAATAAGATAGTTTTTGTTTGAAGCTACTAAGTTTTGAGATAGTTTTTTTCAGCAATAAATTAGACAAAATCCTTAAAACTCTGTGCACCAGTATGAGAATGTATAAAATAGAATGAAGAATAGTAGCTGTCTTGCCCCCTTCATATAGTTAAAAGTGGGAGGAGTAAATAAAAGAATGAATTTAACAACATATTGTATACTACGAAGTGCTATCTAGATAATGTTATTATGGTAATTGTAAAAGCCCCATAACTTTGTGACAATCTTTAAGCCTTCTTTCAAAGGGGATACAAAACTATTACTCAAAAAGGAAGAGTGAACAGGTTATAGATTTTAATTAGTCGTGTGTCTTGGTAATACACTCCTGTAGCAGCACGGCCTCATGCTCTTCTATCACCATGGCCTTTTCAGTATGAGGTGTCCCCACGAAATGGCGGCCCTTTTATGTCGGCAGAAATGGAGGACATACAGACAGGACTCAAATGAAACTTTGTGACTTCCAGCTATGTTGGAACATTAAAATAACCAGAATGAGGGTTGGATGGAAAATCAGCCAACCTGTTGATTTTACTGATCAGTGAGTTAGTGTCAGGAAGAGAAATCAGGTCACTCTGTAGGACTAAGTATAGAGAAAATTGGGCAGAGAGCTTTTAACCAATTGGTTGATTAAAAGTCCAGAGATGGCTGGGCATGATGGCTCATGCTTGTAATCCCAGCACTTTGGGAGGCCAAGGTGGGTGGATTACTTGAGGTTAGGAGTTCAGGACCAGCCTGGCCAACATGGTAAAATCCTGTCTCTACTAAAAATACAAAAATTAGCTGGGTGTTGTGGTGGGTGCCTGTAATCCCAGCTACTCAGGAGGCTGAGGCAGGAGAATTTCTTGAGCACAGGAGGCAGAGGTTGCAGTGAGCCGAGGTCACGCCACTGCACTCCAGCCTGGGCGAGACAGTGAGACCCCATCTCAAAAAGAAAAAGTCTAGAGACAATTTTATTTTTATTCAGCAATTTTTCTTTTTCTTGAAACAGAGTCTTGCTTGTTGTCCAAGCTGGAGTGCAGTGGTGGAATCATAGCTCACTGCAGCCTTGACCTCCCAGGCGTAAGCAATCCTCCTGCCTTAGCCTCCCAAGTAGCTGGGACTATAGTCACGTGCCACCACACCCAGCTAACTTTTTTAATTTTTTGTAGAAACAGGGTCTTTCCATGTTTCCCAGGCTGGTCTGGAACTCCTGGGCTCAAGCCATCCTCCTGCCCCAGCCTCCCAAAGTGCTGGGGTTACAGACGTGAGTCACCATGCTGGACCCAGCAAATTTCCTTAGAGCACTTTTGGTTGTGACAGGTGGCTGTAAATGGTGGTAAGTTTTGGTTCAGGCCTTCCTCTGCTTCTTTCTACCTCTGGTGGCAGTTGCACATAAGCTGTTATTTTGCCTGGGGTGCTCCCTTAATTCGGTTACTGAGTTATCTCCTACTCCTAATTTCTGCTCACACATCACCTCCACACCATTACCTGAGCCCACAAATTAGTTGAAGTTTCTCTGTCATAGCTTGTGTGGGTCCCTGTGTATTTACATAACTATATTTATCACAGTGGTATTCATATTTAGTAAGGAGGTGTATCCTCACACTACATTCAGATATACAAGAAAATGTAGTCACTACATTTTCAGTAATGAATCTGATCCTTCCACGGAGTGGCCATTCTGCTGGCTTAGCAGGGAAACTCCACTTTAATCTGTCTCATCACAGTAAGTCAGTAGCTGCCAGTGTGGAGTCTCGTGCATTACACAGCCACTACTGGTTTAAAGGCCCAATCATTCCAAATGCCTCCTTCACTTCACACTCACAACAGTGTCCAGGTAGTTTCACGGGCAGGGTTGAGTGACTTTATGACTTTGGAGGGAATGTGGTCTCTGCATGGGAGCTCATTCTTGGCTGTGGGCCAGTTAGTTTCTGTATACTGTGTAGTGCACATTGCATACTCTGAAATATACTGTATAAACAATTTAGTTTTTTTTTTTTCAAACAGAAGAGTGGTTAAGAGCATTTACTTTGGAGTCAAGTTGATTTAAATTCCAATCTGTACTCTGCTCCTTATTAATAGTATTCTTTAACTAAATGTTTCACTACCCTAAGCTTCAGTTTGTTTATTTTATTTTATTTTACTTTATTTTATTTTATTTTATTTTATTTTATTTTATTTTATTTTATTTTTTTGAGAAGGAGTCACACTCTGTCACCCAAGCTGGAGTGCAGTGGCACGATCTTGGCTCACTGCAAGCACCACCTCCCGAGTTCACGCCATTCTCCTGCCTCAGCCTCCCAAGTAGCTGGGACTACAGGCGCCCGCCACCACGCCCAGCTAATTTTTTTGTATTTTTAGTAGAGACAGGGTTTCACCGTGTTAGCCAGGATGGTCTCGATCTCCTGACCTCGTGATCTGCCCGCCTCAGCCTCCCAAAGTGCTGGGATTACAGGCATAAGCCACCCCGCCCAGCCTGTTTATCTTTATAATGGATATATTAATAGCTATCACTGGATTTAATTAAATAATTAGCACAGTACCAAACACATAATTAGTTCTCTTTCCTTTGCTTCTTTTTAGCTCCTTGTAATTGTCAGGTTTCTTTTTTGTAGAAAGTGTCTTCATTGCATATCCTGGAGCCATGTTCCTAATCTCCAGTCTCTCCCCTTTTCCCAGAAAAATTTAGCAGTCCTCGGTTCCGTATACTCAGGGTTCCCTGATAAAATGTATGGTGGGGACTGGGGAGAAGGGCATGCTCATTCTCTCAGAAGCAGCATATTGCAGTGGAATGAGCACAAGTTTCCAAATGAAGAATCTGGTACTTGTAGGATTTCATGGATGTATCTCGTGTCCAGGCAACTTCAAATCAAACCACCATATTACGATAGTCTTCAAGAATGGAGATGCATGAGGTGGCAATGGAGATGAAACAGTTTGTTATTTATGGCTCCAAATCACATTAACTTGTGTAGCTCAGGAGGATACTCACTTGATCTATTCAATATATACCTTCTGATATGTATTCAAAAAATTTCTGGTTCCAGATGTTTTTGATTTTCTGGTTGGGGTGTGATTACGTGATACCTTTGTCTAAGGTGCTCAGCAATCTCCCTGGAGGAAGATAATTTGTTTCATTCACTCTGAAGATTGTTCAGGAAAAATAACATTCAGACTTCCATCCATATCTGACAGGCCCGAGGGGCCTGCAACTTCTCTAATGATGCCTTTAAATGATTTTAATGTTGTGATAAACACAAACTCAGTACGGAACTTGTCCTTCCATGGGACAACCTTTCTTTAGTCTTAGATTGTTGAGCATCTGAGCCTCTTCTGAGAGCCCAGGCAAGATCAAGGAGGCTAAAATCATACAGAATGATCAGGCCTCTCTAAATGGACCAGGGAGTATTGGGGCAGATTGCTAAGCTCAGGGAGGCCCTGAAGTTGTTTTCAGTGCATGTGGATTCAGAATTATATCATGAAGTATGAGCTATAAAAAGGACTTTGTTGGTAATAGTTATGAATGCAATGTACAGCTTTTGTTTTTTTCAGTTTGGAATCCACAATCAAATCCACATAAACGTGGTTAACTCTCACGCATCTTTCAAGACCTGCTTTGTGCTCCTTCTCTAAAAAGCCTTGCCTGAGACAGCTAAGCAAAACTAGTCACTCTACCTGTGTGGTTCTACTCTTTCCACCACTGCCTTTGACTGTAGAATGGCGATGTAGCATTTGTTTATATATTGTTCTTCCTTACCAGACCATGAGCTCCTCCTAGGTAAAAGCCATGCCTGATTCTTCCGTGATATCCACTGCCTGGCACTGGAGTTGATAGAAAGAACATACTTAATAAGTAGTTGGATAAATAACTATTTATAAGGCTTTTAAGAGACAGAAAAGCAGAAAAGACTTGGGTCAAAGAAAAGGGAATTTATTCAGTATTTATTGAATGCCTCATATATATATAAGGCATGTAACATAGAATAATTTATTTGTTATTCACAGCACCCTTTAGAAAAAAAAAGTATTTTTGTTCTCATTTCACAGAGCAGGAACTGAAGCTCAGAAAGTATAATAGAAACAAGAATTGGTGCATTTAGAATTTGATTTCAAATCTGTCTTTGTCTTTTTTTGTTTTAGTAATATACTTTCCTACTTATCAGTGAGATTGGATCCTATAGTTTTTCTCTGCTCCCAGTGAACAGGCTTTCTGGAAGTCTGATTTGTTCTGTTCTATTTGTCAGGAGTGAATGTTTAGCTATATCTTAATTACCAGGTCTAGCTCTACCCAGTGACTTCCTGCCTACTTCCAATAAAAATAGACAGACTATGAAGACTCTAAGAGCTTGATTAGCACTGATCATGAGGGAAATGCAAATCGAAACCACAATGAGATACCATCTCACACCAGTCAGAATGGCAATTATTAAAAAGTCAAATAATAACAGATACTAGTGAGGTTGCAGAGAAAAGAGAACACTTATACACTGTTGGTTGGGAGTGTAAATTAGTTCAACCATTGTGGAAAGCAGTATGGCAATTTCTCTAGGAGCTAAAAAGCAGAACTACCATTCAACCCAGCAATGGTAGTTCTAGTTCTACCACCAATCTCTGGTAAATACTCAGAGAAATATAAATATTCTATCAGAAAGACACATGCATGTGAATGTTCATTGCATCACTATTCTCAATAGCAAAGACATGCAATCAAATTAAATGCCCATCAATGACGGATTGTATAAAGAAAATGTGGTACATATATACCACGGAATACTATGTAGCCATGAAAAAGAATGAGATCATGTCTTTTGCAGGGACATGGATGGATCTGGAGGCAATGATACTTAGCAAACTGATTCAGGAACAGAAAACCAAATACCACACATTCTCACTTATAAGTGGGAGCTAAATGATAAGAACTTATGAACCTGAAGAAGGAAACAATAGACACTAGGGCCTACTTGAGCAGGCAGGATGGGAGGAGGGAGAGGAGCAGAAAATATAACTATTGGGAACTGAGCTTAGTACCTGGGTGATGAAATAATCTGTACAACAAACCCCCATGACACCTGTTTACCTAAGTAACAAACCTTCACATGTACCCCCGAACCTAAAATAAAAGTTAAAAAAAAAAAAAGAACTTGATTAGGCTTTGCTTACTATCAGGTGGAGGGACTGCACTTAAATGGCATTTTTTAAAAAGCTTTATTAATGTATCACTGGCATAAAATAAACTACACACATTGAAGGCTATGATCTGATAAGTTTTGATGTGTATATGCATTCATGAAGAAAATAATTACAATCAAGATAATGAACTATCTGTCACTCCCCAAAATTTCCTGTGTCCCTGGCTAGAACCACAAAGTTGAATAGAAGTGGGGAGAACAGACGCTGTCATCTTGTTCCTCATTTTAAAGGAAAGCATTCAATCTATTACCATTATGTATAATGCTAGCTTTAGGTTTTATGTAGATACCTGTCATCAGGTTAAGGGTATGCCCTTTTATACCTAGTTTTTTTTTTCCAAAATCAGAATTGAATGTCAGATAGTTAATTTTCCTAATCTATTGAGATGATTATATGGTTTTCCTTTTTAATCTGTTAATATGATAAATTACTCTCAAGAACCCTTTTAATTATTTGATTCTGTGATTATATGTTACTTAAATAGTTGAATCTACCTTAGCAAAATTCTAGTATTGCCTTTGACATTGTAATCCAAAGGCTAATAACTAAAGATGGTATAAATACATGGTATCTTAAGTAGTGTAGCAAATCCATAATTATTAGATACCTAACCAAAGTTCTTCCCATTTTATACCATGCAAAAAATCACATGGCCTTTAACATTTTTTATTATTTTACATAGAATAAAATTTATTCCTGGTTGTATACAATTCAGTGTTTTTAAATTAAAAACATGGGTCCATACAAACACTCCTAAAATGGTTATACCTAATGATGACCCCTCCCCCACCAAAATTTCCTCACTCTGTTTCTTTCTGTGCAAGCCTGTTCTTCCTCCCCGAACCCTGGCAGCCATTGATTTGTTCTCCACTCTTCAGTTTTGCCTTTTCCTAAATATTCTATACATGAATTCACGCAGTATACCATCTTTTGAGACTGGCTTCTTTGATCTAGTAAATGCATTTGCAATATATTGATGTATTATCAGAAGCTTGGGAGCACATTTTCCTACCAATTATCTGAAAGGAAAAGTAAATGATCTATTGAGAATGTGGTATATTTAATAAAAGAAAATACAAGCAGATACTTAATTTGCTGTGGTACAAAAACCACATTTTTCCATCAATATGTAAGAAATGAAACAAATATAAACTGAACTCTTTGGTCCAAAAGGTGAAAACATCTTTCAATTACACAGTCAGGTGTGACCTAGAAACAGATCTAAGTCTTTACCACTGTTTTTATCTACATTATGTCTTGACTTTCTGTGTGTTTTGCATACCCAGTAATAATGCATTAAATTATTGCTTCGTGAATTAGGCGGGATTAGATAGCATTGTTGTATGTGTAACCTATATGGTAATGAGAGTGAAATAGTTAAACAGAGATGGAGTAGGTGGGGTCAGATTTCATGAATGGATTTTCACTTCTCTGCATAGTGAGAGATAATTTTCAGCTCAGGCCTCCATTGGTGGATACTTTGAGAGAACATGCAGTGTTGGGCAAGAGCAGCAGGGGGCCTGGATGAAGATAGGAGCTTGGACCAAAAAAGGCATGAGGATAGATAGAATCAATCTCATTCACTTACCCATTTCACTCTCACTAAACCTTTGGGGAAGTTAACTAGGACATAAACATCAGGTTCCTACTGTATTGTACATATAATTGATATATATGTTATGTTTCTGTGAACTATATCACAAACTGGATATTCTCAGTCCATGAAGCAGGTTCAACTCTCAACTTAAGCTTTTGCTGTCTCTATGAGGTCCTGAGTAAATAAAAAGCTATTTGGATCTTTTTGAAGACTGACAAGTGCATCTCAGGAGAAGCGCTCATAATCACAGCACTAGTCATTTCTGACCCATAACCAGGAAACCCCCAGAATAGTATTAGGTGTGGAAGGTGAGCCCTGGGATGGGTTGGGAGACTGACATTCACAGCGTAGGGTGCCTTGGAGAGTAAAATTCCCTCCTTCTAGACAACAAGGAACACATTACTAAGCAAAAGCATCCTAAACTTACAACAAAAGCTGCCAGGCACTCATTCACAGCAAATGTCAGACTCCAGACACCAACTGCTAATGTGTTATAAAATGCTGATTAGGGATTACTGAAGCTGCCTACCAACTTTCTATTACCATTATTTAAGAAAGTCAGAAATAAGTTGATTCTAATTCCAACAGCATTTTATGTTTTTCTTACAAATTTCACATCTGTGAAAGTCAGCATTTATAAAATTTAGTTGAGAGATATACTTAAAATAAATGCACTTAGGAAGAAGGAATCAGGTATTTAATAGATAAAAGCATCAACTTTAGATCATATATACTGCATTAATTCTGGAATTGATTTATATAAAGTACATAAAAATTATACCTCCAAACTGGGTATGTTCCATGAGGATAGAATTTTATTCCTGTTTGGTTTAATTGATTTATACCAAGCCTCCAGAACAGTCTATGCACAAAATAAGATCTCAAAAAATATTGGCTGCATTAAATTAGACCAGAAAATAAAGTAAAAATATAAACCATGCGAATCAGGAGGTTTATATAGTTGCTATGGTTAGATGAGAAATTTGACTCTGAATTTCCTAGAAGCTAAAGTGAAAATGAAGTTACACTCAATTACATAGCTTACATTGTCAAGTAAGAGAAAGAATACTAATTTACTATGGGAAATTAAGCTTTCTTAGGGATAAACTCTACAAGAAATTCCTAGTGTGGGAATTGATAAGAAGCAATAGTGAGTTTTTAGAGTAATTTTTAATAGTATTTGTGAAAGTTGAGAGCATAACTTTAACATATCAGAGATAATCACGGAAAGGATTCAGATAATATTCTTTTTGTTATAAGATGGGAGAAGGGAACAGCAGGGAGCAATACATAGAATTGTACAGGTAGGGAAAACTACTGTGGCTGAAAAAGTTGGGCTTCTCAGGAATAAAAATTGTTTCCTTTTTTTAAAAAATCATTTCCTGATTGTTCTTGTCTTAATCATTTACTCATTCAGAATCATTTATCAATGTCTTTCTTTATGCTTCAGTTACTGTGATAGATGCTGAAGATACGAGTTAAATTTAACATAGCCCTGTCCTTAGGGAGCTCTGAATTTGGTAAAGAAGCAAAACAAGTCAATCAGCCATCACGAAGTGCTGCTGTCAGCAAGGTCTCCATGGCGTGTGGGAGGACACAAAGGAGAGGCATCTAAATTAAGCTGGAGTCAAGGTAGGCTTCCCAGAAGAGGACACCGTGGAGCTGACTTTTAAATTTACATTTGAGTTAACTGAATGAATGAAGCGAGACAGTTTTCTAGGCAGGGGAGTGGCATGTGTACTGGAATATTGCAATTACTGGCTTGGGTAGGGGGCAGTGCTGCGGAGACACACTCCTGTGGATTAAGGAAAAAGGAAGGCAGAGGACAGAAAGAAAGTAAGGAATGAAGGGCCTTGTCGGTTAAAGTAAGAAGTCTGAGCTTTATCCTGAAAGCTATGGGCAGCCATGGTCATTGGAAAATTTGGATCTTCCTGGGTGCAAGGTACTTTTCACTTAATGATTAGTGATTTTGATCTTTGTTAAAGAGTAATTTGAATACTTTTCTTTAGTTCTGACAATTCTTTTAGTAACAATTAGTTATGATTAGTAACAATTATTTTCATGCCAGATTGGCAGGGAGCTCTTCCTCTTTGGTGCATCATGGACTAGAGCAGTCCTCAGCTCCATCCTCATCATTTTATAGAAAAGTCTCAGAGACAGTAGGTGACTTCACCAAAGCCACACAGCTACTGAGTAGCAGATCCAGGATTTTAATCTTATTTGGGAAACACTATAATATGGTAAAAAGAACAGAAACCTGTATCGGCTGATATAAATTCAAATTTCAACTCTGAAACACTTTTGTGACCTTAGGAAAGTCATGTAACCTTTCTAAGATCCACTCTCTTCTTTATAAAATAGTCATACTAATGATGGTCTTGATATACTGATTTGGTTTTGAAATAATGTGAAACACCTCCAGATTACAGTGGGTACTCAGTCAGTACTTGTTGCTTCTGATACTCAAGCACACTGATTTCTAGATTGAGGTTGTTTTCCAAAAACCTTTTTGGAAGGATGGTGTCCTGATGGTAGTCCTCTCTCTGTCTTTTCTTTTGGCCCACAGTATTCCTGTGCCTTCTGGACTGACGGTCCAGTGGTATCCAAAGGGATACTTTGAGCTGGAGGTCATTTAGGTCTGTATAGGGTCCCTAAGAAGTGTCAGTGTAGCAGACCCTGGGAGAGAATGCAGTGGCAGAAAAATGTATTTCTCATTGAAACCTCTGGGTAAGAACATTTTAAAGCTTAATACAACCAGGATCTGTCAGTGTGCCCACAGATTGAGGCCTGAAATAATCTGGAACCCGAATACTACTCATTAATGATGAAAGTGCTATGGGAAAGTGCTATGGGGGTGGAGGGAGGGAAGCAGTAGCTTAAATATGGACATACATGGAGGCAGAGTCATATTTTCAAAATCATTTTTTTTCTTGAGATCAACCCATCCAAGCAAAGTCCTTATAAAGCTAACCAAGGATAACAGCTCTATCAATCAAATCTTTTGCCTTCACAGTTGAGTGATATCTTTTTCTTCCCTTCATAACCAAAACCGAGAGGCCAGTTTAATTTCCCAGTTGGAGGCAAAAGAGTCTTTTCTTGACCCTGGCTCTTCATCTCCACTGAATAGCTCACCCTGCTTTAATGTTATGCTTTCTTATTTATATTATTAGTATTGAAAATTATTCCCGGGGGAGAAGAATATAATGATAAGGTATCAGGCTCTTTATTCAAAGAACTAATCAGATTTTAGAAAGACACAACAATGCACTGTAGGGTTTCTAAACAGGCTATAATGACCTGTTCCCCACAATGGTTAAGGAAGTATATGTTTAGCAGAGAATGAGTTTTCCGGGTTTTTGAGGGAGGGCTCAGAGAAGGAGGTGGGAAACCCCATTGTGCAGCAGCAGGAGAGATACCAGGCCTATAGTAAGAATATTCTCTTTCGAAAAATTGAACGATAATCCTAATAGTTGCAATGTATTAATTCTTCAGTCTCTTTCTAGGAAAAAAAATGAAGTTATTGTGAAAGAGATCTGCCTCAGAGAGGCTACCTTGCAAGACAGGTTGATTATGGCTAATGAATTACACATGGCTTATTGCATTTCACAAAGACCAAACCACATAATAATATTCTCATGAGATCACGTCAGAATCAGCCGCATCCTGGGCTCCTGCCTATTGTGGTCAGAAAACCCGATAGAGACATGCAGGTTTTCCTATCTAATATTACTCTTAGTATTTAAGGAGTGCTAAAACGTAGGTGAATTGAGCTTTCTGAAGAAATACCGTAACCTCAGGGCTTGAGGGGGATCTAAGTAAGTATTTAATCTAGGGCCTTAATGTTATAGCTGAAGAATAAGAGGCTGATGATGGCATGTGGCTTGCTGAAAATCACGAAGGTGGTTAGGGCCAGTGACGGACTAAGAGACCAGGTCTTCCAAACTGCAGTTCCAGCCTCTTTCTTGCATTACATTTTTGAAAATTTCTAAAGTATTCTAGCTTTATTGATAAGAGCATGATTTTGAGGTGTGGAGATAGAGAAGAAATTTAATACTTGTCGAACAGTTCATAAATACTTAGAGTGGTGCTGGGGGGCTCTTATATTTATTATCTCATTTAATCTACAATAATCCTGTAAAGTCAGTATTATGTTCCCTCTATAGATGCAGAAACTGAAGCTAATGTGGTAAAGGTACCAAATCTGGTATAGTGGAACTGGATTCAGCTCCAAGGTCAATTAGGTACCCAAACTGCTACAAACCACTACTTAGCAGGCAGTATGAATTTATGAATTTATTCTCAGAGTTGAAATTAAAATGAAAGGTAACCAACTCCAACCTTTGATTTGACGCGGGAAGTTTCTTTATAGAATTCCTGACAGATGTTCACCAGTTTCTACTTTAGTACCTTCAGCCATAAAGAACTCACTGCCTCACAAATATTTAACCCTTGTAGTTACATGGTGTAAAACATTTCCTGTATTTGATTTCTTATTTTATCTTAAACCCATATCCTCCAGATCATTCTCTGATGTTACATTTTGCATGCTGTACTCAATCATTCATTTATTATTTCAGCAATATTTATTGTCTGTTACATGTCAGGTACAATGCTCTATTCTGAGAGCACAATGATGAATAAGGCAAATATTCCTATCTTCATGAAGTTTGCATTGTTTAAGCAAGGATTTGGGTGTAATTCGTATTTGAGTAACTGGAAGAGGAAACATTAATAACAGCACATAGAATTAAAAAAAAAATTCCAGGCTCTAAAATATGGCTTACTCAACTCTATAATAAAATGTTTATGTAGAACGCCACTGGCATGTCTTTGAGGATCACTTAGAAAATGAAATATGGGGAGACTTTTTCCTCTGAGAAAGCAATAAAAAAATTTGCCTGAAGCATCTAAATGGTGCCTCAGAGATCGGGCTGAGTTATGGCTGATGACATAAAGGAATCCCGGGCAAACAGGGCTGGGTGTTTGGCAGCAGGCAAACTGCTAAATGCTGGACTTTCCATTGTGCAAATACTGGCTCCAGGACTTGATGTGAACAGGGCCCTGGCCTCATCCTAAAGTAGCAGCTTCTTAGGCTGGTTTTTAGCGGGCTCACCATGGAAATCATAGGAAGCAGGCCTGGGGAAATCTGGAAGGGAGGCTTCTTGCCTTCACCATGGTAAGACTGAACAATCTCAAGCACCTATTAAAGACTGGACCCTTTCTATAATTACCTCAAGTAATCCTCACAGCAGTGCCCTGAGGGAAGACTTTTTTATTCCTGTATTATAGAGGAAGTAGACCAAGGCTCTTGAAGGTTAAGTTCCCTATCCAAGTTCATGGCTAATAAGTAAAGGAGTATAATTCCCACCTGTGTGTATCTGACTTCCAATCCTATGCTTTTTGGATTATAATTCTGTGAAGGCAATGGAGAGAGTCCTTGCAACTTTGAGTGAAGATTTCAAAAAGGAGTTTGAAGATAGAGAATTGTAGTTTTAGGACCCTTTATTTGCATGGGACCAATTTTAGGTCTAGGGAGGAGCCTTAGAAATAAGGCCATATATTTTTAAGCATTGCAACAGTAAGATATTTGTATATTCCTTTTTTTAAAGAAAACCTCTAAAATTTTGAAAGCACTTGGACCCATAAAACCTGTGGCAAACCATATTTAGAAAACAGTTGTTGTTCACTCAATAATTATTTTTTTTTTTTGGAGACAAAGTCTTGCCCTGTTGCCCAGGCTGCACTGGAGGGGTGCTGTCATGGCTTACTGCAGCCTCAGCCTCCTGGGTTCAAGAGATTTTCCTTTCTTAGCTTCCTGAGTAGCTAGAACTATAGCCATGTGCCAACACACCCAGCCAATTTTTTATTTTTTGGGAGTTGAGTTGCTATGTTGCCCAAGATAGTCTTGTACTCCTGAACTCAAGTGATCCGCCTGTCTTGGCCCTCAAAGTGTTGGGATTACAGGTGTAAGCCACCACACCTGGCCTCAACAAATATTTCTTAAATGCCTAATATATGCCAGGCCTTGTCTTAAGTGCTGAGGATTCAGCAACAAAGAACACAGAACAGAGAGTACTGTTCTTATGGAGTTAATAGTCTAGAGACAACGTGTGTTGGCAGAGTCCTGGCATGAAAGTCATGCCACACTAAAACTGGAGACAGGGATAGTTGTGTAACATAACTACCCGATGGAGGATTAGACCTTTGGTTGATAGCAACTAACCAACCCTCAATCCTACCAGTAGACAGAAGAGCAATAAACACTCAGCCTCACCTTGCTCTTGCTCTCGCTCTCTAACTTCCTGCTGGTGGTCCTTTTTGGCCAAATTGAACTGGAAGTTAGAGGACAGGCTAGCCCACTAACAGTTTGTGCAGGTCAGGCTTCTGGACTACATAGTTCAAAAGGGTGGAGAGTGACTATGGAGGAGAAACAAATGGCATCCAACACATATGTGTGAAGTTCAACCTTCAGAACTCAGTAAGAATGTGGTCTGGGGAAAACAGTTGCGTAAAGCAGAATGCCAATTCTGGCATTGATACTTCTCCTGAAAATAATAATAATAACAGCAAGAGAAAACATTTATTGAAAACATACTCTATTGTTGACATGAGCTGAGAGTCTGTAGCATATGATATCCCATAAGCTCTCTCCTTCAAGCATTATTCTAAAGGGCTCTAGAAGCTGGCCATTTGCCAAATTTTAAACATTTTAAACCAATATATGAAGAGTTAAACTGCCTGAGGGACCCTTTCACATCTTTCTATGTTTTATATATTAGAGTCTATGAATAAAAAGAAGAAGAAAAGCCACTGGGTAACTATACATGAAACATTCACATTCAACCAGCCATAGTGAGCACAATAAAAGATTGAGAAGCACTAATTACTAAATCAAAATGTATTCTTGTTGGCAAAATGCCTTAGTAACTCCCTGATTTTCTCTCAGATTAGGCACTTGCTAAAGGTCCATGGGACCTGGGAGGCAGAGGGTGAAAGACACAGGGCATGGAATAGCTCCCATTTCCTTCTTAAAATATTCTTAAGTAGAAAGGCTATTCCCAAAGAGGTGCCACAGGGACTAACCCATTTATGAGAATGAAGTGATTTGTCCACCTGAGAGACAAGTTTCCAGTCACTCAGGCCAATATCAGATTCGATACGCAAATGAGTTCTTTCAGCGTTTCTCAAAGGTACCCGGATTCAGTTTGGAAGAGTTCACAAATTTCAACAGTTAACAATTTTTTCCCACCCATGGCATTACCCATACTTAATAACCAGAAAGTCTAATTTTTGTTGAAGTAAATGAAGTGCCTGAAAGTACCAGGGAAATCTAGACTCCAAATTACTCTTGTATTAAAGGACCTTTAAGCCGTAAGTTGAGCTTACAAATTCTTCATTAAACCTCTTTCTTTGACAAATTAGAAAACTGTGACCTACAAAAGGAAAGTGGTTGGTTCCAGGTCACACCATGAGCTATTAGCAGAGCTGAGATTAGTACTCTTTGTGTCCTTGTCTCCTGCCCTGTGGTCCTTGTAGTTACATCATACTAGCTCTCAGAGACATAGACTAAGAGACCAGCAGCCTGAGGGCCCCTGAAAGCTACTCATTCCATGGGAGAAAGAATATTGATCACTTCTGTAATAATAGGGAAAAATCCAGTGTCAAATAATTCAATTGGAGGAAATGTGTGGGAGAAAGGAATGCTACTAAAATATTCCTGTCTGTCTACACTAAAAACAGGAGTTTAGTCTGGGCAATCTTCTTTGATATCCCCAGGTCCTTACCTTCATGGAATGTGTGAAGGAGCAGTATTTGCTTCCAAGACTGGCTATCATAGGGCAAATGCTCTTACTTTACAGCTATGTTAAGAAGTTTAGTCAGGAGATCATACTTTACAACTCTAGATTAAATGAGAACTATATGGATGTGATTTAGGCTCTGATAATTGCTGGACAACTTCAATCATTAAGAGCTAGTCAACTAATTCAAACAATTGATGTTTTAGTCCTTTTCCTGAGCAGGCATGGAAGACTCGAGAGACATCTGGGTTCAGACTCCCAGCTTTCCCAAGACTTCACTGCGTGCATTTAGCTTTGGGTAATGCAACAAGAAAATTCACCTGTGTCCCATTTTAACTACCATCTTCCCACTTAATCAGGCCTGGTTCCACTGAGATTACCCAAGCTGTGATCCTGTCATACCTTGCTTACCAAGAAGCCATCAACCCCACTAACTGTTATCTGCTTAGCATTACTTCCCACCTGAAGCACAAATATTATGGGCTTCTTGTCTGATGTCACCAAGGATGAGAAGCACTTAATTTCTTTTGTTGATGGCTAATATGTTGTTTCTCTTTACATCTTTATTGTTTTTATTGGCCAGAGAGCCATTTTTCATCCCATGGAGTTCTCTAAGGACTTCCCTGACACTCATTCTTCCAGCAATCAACTCTAAAAATCTACTCATTTGGTTGGTGTAGCAAAGTCGACTTATATTGAACATGTTGAATCTGGATAAAGAATTCTTAGTATGCTTTCATTATTTTGAGCCCATGCCAGTTATCTGTTCATTTTCAATTCTGTCCCATGATGTACAGAATCATTCCGATTTATGCTCTGGACTGAGAGCCTTGATGGCTTTCAAAGCACAGGTTTACTTTTCTACGGCTATTAACCACGAATTAAAACATATTATATAGGATGGTGGCAAGAAAAAAATGCTGTTTATAGGGAAATTTGGCCCATGCTAGGTAGAATATGAATCCAGTGTGATTGATTTGTTAAATAAGCAAAAAAATAAAGCAATCTGGTATTTGTCCCTTTACTTATAAGGAAAACAAATCTCCCTTGGAAACCTATGAATAGTGACATGATACAATATTATAGACCCTTCAAAGACACTCTGAATACAATTCAGCTATGCCCAACCCATGTCTTAAACTCACGACATTTAGAAGTCTCATTCTTTAGCCATGGATTTATACAATTTTCAATGTTTATATTTCTTACAGTGAAGAAGAGCTATGAGAAAGATTGGGAAGGCCTATTAAAACATCATTTAATAAATAAACATAATTTGTACTGGATGTACAATTAAGACTTCAAGAGGGGTGAACCAAGAAAAATTAGATTTTCTTAATTCCTAAGATATTGAAAAGTATCTCAGGGTTTTTTGAATTGATCAATTGACTAATTGTGTCATTTAATAAATAGCAATTGAAAGCTTACCAAGTTTGATATAGTATATCCATTGATGACTGAAACACACAGTTCATGCTGTTACAGAATATACTACACATTGGCTTTTGTATAATATTGTAGTAATAGCATAGATGTACATATCCACGATAGAACTATATGAGTTTTTGGCCATGTTTTAGGTAAAAATATAACAATCTTCTTATGGGCCCAAAGGCCACTCAAGAGTGGGTACCCCCAACATTGTCCCTTTGCCTCAGCCTTATATCAAGTGCCTGCTTTGCTTTAAAAGAATAAACAAAATTTAAAAACTATTTAAGTAAATGATATTTTAAAATTTTTGTAAATTGAATTTCATGTCATTGCCACTCATTTGTTTTTACAATTCTGTAAAATATCCTATGATTTTTCTTTCTTTTTTATTTTTTGAGATGGAGTCTTGCTCTGTCACCCAGGAGTGCAGTGGCATGATCTCACCTCACTGCAAGCTCTGCCTCCCAGGTTCATGCCATTCTCCTGCCTCAGCCTCCTGAGTAGCTGGGACTACAGGAGCCCACCACCACGTCCGGCTAATTTTTTGTATTTTTAGTAGAGACAGGGTTTCACTGTGTTAGCCAGGATGGTCTTGATCTCCTGACCTCGTGATCTGCCCGCCTCAGCCTCCCAAAGTGCTGGGATTACAGGTGTGGGCCACTGCGCCTGGCCTATGATTTTTCTTTTTTGATTTTAAAAATAATCATGGATAGCTAAACATATTTTCATGATAATCAAATGAAAACTCCCAAGAGTTCTCTATGGATTTCTGGTGACATTGTTTCTTTCTTCCCCAGTCTTTTCCCTAGATTATAAATCATCTACAATACTTCAGGTAAAAGTTAGTTGCTATATCTGTCTATTTTATATTATGCTTTCTTATTGATGTATATGACTTCTCAACATTTGGTCACTTTCCAGGTTAGATATATTTACAAAGATGATGCTGTAGTTGTATTGATTGTAGGAGTTCATCTAGTGCAATAGGGCAAACCAAGAGCAATGACAAATGAAAGATAAAAGGGAGCTAGTCAGCTTTCTTCTAATTTTTTTTTTGTGGATTTCTCTGAGGTGAAGATTTTCTTTATTAATCTTTGAAAGAAGTCCCAAAGGCCAAGGAAACTCATCTGACTATAAGCTGCTGTGTGTTTCCCTACCATGTTGAGAAAGGGTGGCTGGTTGATCTAATACATTACATTGCTTCAGCATATTTTTTTTATTTATTTCATCCTTTATTCCCCATTATCATATCTGTAGGCTTGCTTTTTTAAAATAAAGTATCATCTCTTCAAAGAAAAAAGAAAAATGCTTGAGGCATCACATTACCTGACTTCAAATTTTACTACAAGGCTATAGTAACCAAAACACCATGGTACTGCTATAAAAATTGTCACATATATAAATGGAACAGAATAGAGAACCCAGAAATAAGGGGACATACCAACAACCAATTTTTGAAAAAATCAACAAAAATATACATTGGGAAAAGGACACTCAATTCAATAAGTGGTGATGGAAAAATTGAACTGCCTCATGCAGAAGAATAAAACTGGATCCATACCCCTTACCATATACAAAAACTAACCAAGATAGATTAAAGACCTAAATGTAAGACCTGGAAGCTACAAAAATCCTAGAAGAAAATCTAGGGAAAACTATTGTGGACACTGGCCTAGGGAAGGTATTTATGAACAAGTCCTCCAAAGCAAACCCAGCGAAACCAAAAGTAGACAAATGGGACTTCATTAAATGAAAGCTTCTGCACAGCAAAAGAAGTCATCAACTGAGTAAATTGACAACCTACAGAATGGGGATAAGTATTCACAAATCATGTGTGTGACGAAGGGCTAATATCCAGAATGTAAAAAAAACTCAAACAACTCAACAACAACAACAACAAAATAACCTCATTAAAAAGTAGGCAAAGAACATGGCAGACATTTTTCAAAAGAAGACATACAAGCAACCAACAAATATATGAAAAAATGCTCAACATCACTAATTATTAGAGAAATACAAATTAAAACCACAATGAGATACCCTCCTATAGCAGTCAAAATGGCTATTAAAAAGTAAAAAAAAAAAAAAAAAAAAAAAAAAAAAAAAAAAAACAGATGTTGGTGAGATTAGGGAGAAAAGGAAACCCTTATACACTGTTGGTGGGACTGTAAATTAGTACAAACTCTATGGAAAACGGTATGGAGATCTCTCAAATAATGAAAAATAGAACTACTATTTATCCAACAATCTGACTACTTAGTATGTACTCAAAGGGAAATAAATCATTATATCTAAAGGATATCTGTGCTCATGTTTATCAAAGCACCTATAAACAATAGCAAAGATATGAATTCAATCTGTGTCCATTAGTGGAGGATTGGGTAAAGAAAAGATTATATATATACGTAGTGGAGAACTGGAAAAAGAAAAGGTTTTTTTTATATATATATATATGCATATACATATGTATATTATATATATGTATATATGTGTGTGCATATATGTCTGCATATATACATACCATGGCATACTACGTAGCCATAAAAAATAATGAAATCATGTATTTTGCAGTGACGTGGATGGAAATGGAAGTCATTATCTTAAGTGAAATAACTCAGAGACAGAAAGTGAAATACTACATGTTCTCATTTATGAGTAGGAGCTAGACAATAGGTACACATGGTCATGCAGAGTGGAATAATAGACTTTGGAGAGCGTGGAGGTGGGAAGATGGTTGAGGGTGAAAGTTGAAAAATTATCTATTGGATACAATGTTCCCCATTTGGTTAATGGATACACCAAAAGCCCAGACTTTACCACTATGCAATATGTGCATTAAGAAATCTGCACTTATAACCAATAAATATATAAAAATAAAAAGTAAATACATTTGATTGAGTATAAACCATAAAAATTAAATAAAGTATTATCACTTGTCTCAGCCTCTGTTTTATAGAGATTTAGCTAAATCTAGAAATTAGTCTAGAAAACAAGATTTTAAAACTATATTGCCTTCTTGTCTAAAAAAAGTAAGAACCCATTGCTGATAGTAAGATATTGTGCCTTGAAATTATTCAAGTTTTTACTTGTAGAAAATTGGGGTAGTACAGTTTAAGAGTAAGACATTGGAAGACGAAGAAGTTGTAGTCCTTATTTGGTATGAGAACAAAATTTTTTATAAAGGTTGTACACTGGTGTGACTGCTTTTCATAGCACCAGAGACCTACTTTAAAAAAATTAAAGACACAGGAGAGTTCATTTAAACTCAAGGAATAATCTGCAAACTAGAATGATTCTGTGACAACTTTAAAAAAGCACTCGTAGGGCACAACTGTGATGAAAATCAGGCACAGGAACTAATTTTAAAAGCGACTGAGCTACAAAGCAGATACCTCCATAATCTCAGGAGGTTTCCAACGCCAAAGTCAGGGTATCTTCTAAAAAGTAGCACCATGAGACCTGGGATTGTAAGAGTTGAATCAGCAAATGTGAGAATTTTGAGTCCCCAAATTCTCTTGACACTTCTGGCCAGTAAAATCAGCACCTTCATTTTCTCCAGAAGAGACCAGCCTCCCTTTTGCTAGAGATGATGTAATAATTTCACCTGAAGCATGTGCTTCATCAGATCATCCTTTTTTTTTTTTTTTTTTTTTTTTTGAGATGGAGTCTCGCTCTTTCACTCCGCCTCCTGGGTTTACTTACGCCATTCTCCTGCCTCAGCCTCCTGAGTAGCTGGGACTACAGGCACCCGCCACCATGCCTGGCTAATTTTTTGTATTTTTAGTAGAGATGGGGTTTCACCGTGTTAGCCAGGATGGTCTCGATCTCCTGACCTCGTGATCCCCCCATCTTCAGCCTCCCAAAGTGCTGAGATTACAGGTGTGAGCCACTGCACCCGGCCCTCTTTTTTTTTTTCTTTTTATTTCAAGACTCAACCTTACTACCTCTCATTATCTCTTGGTTGATAGAGTCAGGTGTCAGTCAATGCTGAAAGAAAAGCACAAGTCTAGATCTGAAAAAAAATCCTTAAACCAAAGGAATTCTATGATTTCTCTAATGTGTATCATTAAGAACAGGATGGTGGTATAATTGTCAGAATGTACAAAACTCTATGTCTCACATTTAATGCCACCAGAGAATATCCAATGCAAGGGGACAGTATTATCTGTGCTTAGGATGTCAATCATATTCTTTTCTTGGCACCAGTATTTGTGCAATAGAGTGGCCATGGTGGCATGTACATAGATTATATATGGACTTAACAACATAAGCTCTCCCTCACCGAGACCGTTTTAGTCGTTGTCACTGCTAAATGCAAATCCAGTAGCAGCAAATACCAGGGCACAATCACTTAGGAAGACCAGGCAGCCATCTGGTGGCAGATCACAACATGAAAATCCTTTTTACTTTGGAATAGGAAGTCATTCAAGCCATGTATCTTTCCTGGAATTGACACATACTCCAGATATAGGTTTGACTACTTTCCTATGAAGTCTTTTCCATCACTACCATCTGAAAGGTCACAGAAAGTTTTATCCATTCATGTGGGTCTCACACAAAATTGCCTCTGATTGAGAGGCCCACTTTAAAGCAAAGGAGGCCCGACAATGGGCTCATGATTATGGGTTTAGTGTTCTTACTATGTACCCTATCACCTAGAAATAGTCAGCCTCATAGAAGGGTGGGATGGCCTTTGAAGGATCTGCTTAGATACAGGCTGTGGGACAATGCTTACGGGGTGGAATGCTGCCCTTCAGGATAAGGCATATATTTTAAACTGATAGTTCTTTGTCTTGTTTAATTAAAATCTATGGCTCTGGGAAACAAGGGATGAAATTGAGAGTTACCGCTTGGATTTATGCTCAGAGATCTAGTTGTGGAATCTGTGTTTTCATTTCCTTCATCTTTGGTTCTGCTAGGATTCAGATCCTAGTTCTGTGGTGAGGGCAAACTCATTTCCAGGAATACAGTAAGTTCTACTAAACTGGGTGCTGTGACTACCATCTAATTACTTTTAGCTCGTCGTGTATTGGTAGAGCAATAGGCCAGGGAGAGCATTGCTATAGTGGCTGTGGTAACTTACCCTGTCACTGTGAGGAGAAAGGGTGACCACCATACTATGCAGGCCAATCTGGAATCCGTGGAAATCATTGGGGTGTCTCTTCATACTTGCATGTGTGGTAATGACTATCTATGAGCAACTTCAGCAAACATACTTGAAAAAGAATATAGCAACTAAACACTCAGGCCTTTGGGATTAAGGTCGAGGTCACCTCACCAGGCAAGCAGCTCAGACCAGCTAACATGCTAGACAAGGATGAGGGGAAACTAGAATGGATAGTGGAGATAGCAGTGGAGAAATATCAGCTGTGCCCTCTAGACAAACTATACTGTAGTGGTATTGTAGCTTGTTCTACAAACTCCCTTGCTTTAGTCTTCCAGGAGATCACAACTGGCCACCACATTGAGTGTGCATTGTTGGACTTCCACCTCTCCTCCAAGAGAAAGAGTGAGAACACCTTTATTTTAAAATATGGAATTATTATGTATACCTGGAGCTTCATATTAATAAGAAAGGACAAATAGGTCTGAGTAGTGCAAGAGGTTGGTGGTACCCACACTGAACCCTCCTTTGGAGCTCATCATTTCTCCGGATTTATCAGTCCCTGTTTGAACTTTGTCAGTTCATCCCTGTGGTTTTGTTCCTTTCACTAGATCTTTGTGAATCCATCTCAGATGCACTTCACAAGCTCACACTGTGGCTGCAAGGAGAGACAGAAGTTAAATCTCTGGTTAGCGCACCCTAATAATCAGTACCTAAATATAACCCCTTAACTCATAACTATGTAACCTTGGTATTTTTCTCTTGGTTATAAAACAAATCTTTTTTTTCTTTATCAATTTTTATTTTAAGTTCAGGGGTACGTGTGCAGGTTTGTAACCTGGGTATATTGTGTGATGCTGAGGTTTGAGATATGTATGATCCCATCACCCGGATACTGAACATAGTACCCAACAGTTAGTTTTTCAACCCTTCTACCCCTCCCTCCCTTCCCTCTCTAGTAGTCCTTAATGTCTATTGTTGCCATCTTTATGTCCATGAGTACCAGATGTTTAGCTCCCACTGATAAATAAGAATGTGTGGTATTTGGTTTTCTGTTCCTGTGTTAATTCGCTTAGGAGTTACTTTGGTCTTAAAGGATATTTAGAAATAAAACAGCACAACAGGAAAAATGACACAGAATACACTGATTTGACTAGTGGTGGGTTACTAAATATTTTGTTAATCTATTATTATGTACCAGGCATTGAGTTATATAAAAATATACAATTAGGCAGAGTTTCCACACCCAGGAAGGTAACAATAGATTTGCAGAGGTGATAAGAAAAATGATGGCAATACAGGATAAGCTGAAAAGATTCACAGTCTCTTAAACAGCTGAGAACAAGATGCTTTGGAAGTTTTCAGGGTCTCAGAAAAGGATACGGAGGAGAGCTATTTAGAAAACTGGCAGCTGTAAATTTCCATTTAATTGTTGGATATATGACAGATGACAAGAAATCCTGAGGTAGACAGAAAGTTCCTACTGGCTAAAGTATTCCACCAGGATGTGCCCTTCCACTTTGGAGTGTTATGGGATCCTTCTGTTCTTTCAAGTTAGAATGACCACTTTCCGTATGCTCCTGCAGGGACGCTTATTAAAATCTGAGGCCGATGTGTTGCCTCAAGTTGTGTGCAGTGGTGAGCAGGGGACAGCATAGGCCAGCAGCTCTGTAGATAGCAGTGCCCTTTGATTCAGTTGAAGAGACCTCTTTATCCTCAGTTTTGAATCACAATTAGCACCAGTTGTTGGTAGCCATTTCATTTTAAGTTTCATTTTGTGGGCACCAACGTGGAGCTTTCATTCTGGCAGTCTGAAGTTTATATGACACTCAACAAGTCTACAAAAATTATAGGAGGGAGTGTGGTGAGGAACGTATCTTTTAACTTTTACTTCTCTTCCACCACTTTCTCATCATCATATGTATTAGATAATATTTGTTACTGGCATCAGTCCTTGTCTAGCCCAGCCAACCCGTGGAGAGAATGAAGGCACCTCATGAAACTGGAAAAGACAGAAACAATAAAAGATAGAAATCTACTCTTGGCTGTTTTAGGAACTTTGTGGATTGTAGGAAAGCTACTAGGATATTGATGCCTGCTTTGAGGCCACGTGGCTGCCAGTGAAATACCAGGCTTCAGTTTCAGGTTTAGAACATCTGTGAAAGGCACAATTCTAAGAATGATTTCCAATGAGCTGCTTCCTCGTCTACCCTTCCCACTGAGTGTTGATGGAACCTGTGGATATGATGACATATCACTCCTGTAATTATGATGTATTTTATGACAAAAGGGAGATTACGTGGGTGACTCCAATATAATCACATGAACCCTTTAAAAGCAAATATTTTTTTTTCTGGCTGCTATTAGAAGGAGAAGTTAGAAGATTAGAAAAGTATGAGAAAGATTCGATGCATTGTTACCAGCTTAAAGCTAGAGGGGGCCACGTGGCAAAGAATGTGAGTAATTTCTAGAAGCTGAGCAACCACAGCTGACAGCCAGCAAGGAAACAGGACTCAATCCTACAACCATGAGGAACTGACTTCTGCTAATAATGGGAATTAGTTTGGAAGAAGTCCCTGAGCCCTAGACGAGAACACAGCCAGCTGACACCTTAATTTCAGCCTAAGCAGGGAACCCTCAATACCAGACTTCAGCCCTACAAAGCTGAGAGATTAAAAAATGGGTACTGTGTTAAGCTGCTAAATTTGAGGTTTGTTTGTTTGTTTTCAGCAACAGAAAATGAATGAAATATCCAAGGGCGGAAATAGTTTTAACTGCACATTTACAGTCCAACATGAGTTCATTCCGAACATCATTTCTTACTTGCTAGGTAACTTTGGGATTAACTTCTCTAAATATTTATTTCATCGTCTATAAAAGGGATAAAATAATACCTGCCTGACTTCTAAGATTGTTGCCGCAGTTAAGTGATATACAGCTTATATGACACCTGACATAAAATAGATGTTATTTCCTATTCTCTAGTAAGACTGATCATGGCAAGTCACTCAGAAAAGATAGAAATAGTCCATAATAGATATTATGACTTGCAGGAATTAGAACCATAGACGTCTTTGGAAGGGGAGCAGGATGGAACTCAGGAGAGAAGCATCTGGGTACAAGTTAAGGAAGTACACCATGCTTCTGATGGTTTGGAACCAGAATAGATCCCAAGAGGTCCAGGATCACTGGTAAGACTTAGTGGCGAAAGCCATGAGTCATAGAGTCCCACACATTCTGCTCTAGATGTAATTGAGAAATCTACAGACTGGCAGGGTTGCCAACCTGCCTTTAGTGTTGATTAAAGGCTGAGAGATTTTGCCTGCTATGCTTTCCGAAGTGGAGTTTTGGTAGGCTTGATTCCAAAGGCATGAAGGGGATGCTTAGTGAATGAGAGATAATTCACATTTTCATATAGAACAGAGACAATTAAGGCTAATACGTATAATAACATTTCTCATGTATTTTGTTTCCTCTAACAGTTTGTTGGAGGAGGAATTGCAGTATACTTAAAAGAGAAAGGATTTTTACATTAGAAAAATCTGGCATTACCTATATCTTTGCAATTGGTTAATTGACCTTCAGTAAGCCCTTAGCTTCCTGTTGAACAAGAGTGTCTGTTTCTCAATGGGTAATAGGATGAAATGAGATAAACATAGGTAAGATGTCTAGAATCATGGTTTAGAATTGTTAAGTCCCAAGGCTACCATGCAATTCATATGTGCTTCAGTTTCCTTAGCTATAAAATGGACATAATAATAGTTCCTAGATCATTCTCTTTCTGTGAGAATAAAGTATATGAGGTACTTTGCATAGATCCTGGCCTGTTGTAACCAAGAATTAGAAGGGAACTATTATTTGCGGTAGTATGGGTGCCTAGCCTGCAGTACCTTTTAAATTGGTAGCTATTTTTCATTTGTTAAACTCTGTCTGGATTTCTGTATTTACTCAAGTAAATACTTAAAAAACAAGCCCAAAAGATGTTTGTATATTTCCTTTATGGACAGTTGGATGGGAAAAAAAAAACACTTGGTTCTAGTGCACACCTACACTGTAGGAAAATAAGTTAGTGGGAGAGGGCAGTGGTCTGAAATTTGGAATTACAAAATTCTTATAATCGTCAGAGATAAAACATTGCAGATCTGATTACTCCTCTGCAAAAACAAAACAAAACAAAACAAAACAAAACAAAAAACTTTCAAAGATTCACATTTCTACATTGCCCCTAAGAAAAAAGTCTTTTCAGTCATTTATTTATTCATTCATCTATGAAATATTAATTGAACCCTTAGTATGCACAGTAATTGTTCAAGGTACTGAATTACAACAGTGAACAAAGAAGATACAAAATTTCTGCCCTTCTAGACTACATTTTATTAAGGAGAGGCAGGAAATAGACAAGATAGTCAGATCAGGATAAGCGCAAAAGAGTAAAACAAGTTAAAAAGAAGGGCAAGAAATTTAAGGAAAGAGAATTATCTCCCATTTTAAATAGGATTGTTAATGCATGTCTCGTAAAGGAAGGGCCATGGAAGCAAAGGTTGGAAGGAGAAGAGGCAGTGAGCCAGATGAATACCTGGGGAAAGGACGTTCTATGAAGAGGGCATCTGGCTTAAAAGGCTCTGCGTGCTCTGGCTCTGGCTACACCAATCAGAACCATGCTCATTACAATACCAGGGACAGCCTTTAGCAATCCACCGAAGTCAGTATTTAAGCTATACCATACTTGATTCTCCAAGTTTAAATAGAGCCCAGCAAGCAATCTGGTCTGATAACATCTCAAAAGCCCATTTTGTTCGATATTACAATTAGTAGGTATTTATTAAATAGTTACTATTTGACAGGCAGTGTCATTAGTGCTGAGAACAACTCAGTGAATTAAATAGGTGAGGTCTTCTGTTCATAAAGAGCTGACATTCCAGTAGTAGGGACATATATTTAAACAAAATTATGGAAACTAGTTATGTTATGTATATTTTATCACAATACAAATATATTAAATACCTGACCTCAAAGGCAGACCTGTCTGTAACAACTTGAATTCTTCTGTTTACCTGAGTACTTTTTCCTTCTTCTCCTTCTCCTTCTTCTTCTTTTTCTTCTTTTTCTCTTCTTTATCTTCTTCTTTTTTTTCTTTTTTTGATACAGTGTCTCACTCTGTCTCCCAGGCTGGAGTGAAGTGGCGTGATCATAGCGAGCTCACTGCAGCCTCAAACTCCTTGGTGCGAGGGACCCTCCTGCCTCAGGTAATTTTTTGAAAAATTTTTTGGTAGAGACAGGATCTCTCTATGTTACCCAGGCTGGTCTTGAACTCCTGGCCTCAAGTGACCCTCCTGCCTCGGCTTCCCAATGTGTTGGGATTATAGGCCTGATGTCTTAAATGTCACGTCACACACTGAGGAGGCAGCAACAGTAGACTGCCCACTTTTTCTGCCCCTCCTGAAACCACTTCCTATTTCTCATGCCTTTGAAACTACAAAAATGGCATGGTTTCCTCCCTTCTCTCATTAAAAACATGTGTGCAGGACAAAACTGCACCACCCTGGCGCTGTACCATAAATAGTGAAAGCCAGAGGAAAATATGTCATTTAGTGGCTGCTTATGCTTCACGTCTCCTGCGGGCACCCAGAAGCCTCTCCCCAGCCTCGCTGGTTTTGTTTTTATTGAACTGATTTCTTTTATGGAATGTGTGCTTCTAATTCTTAATTTTAAGGTCAACATCTTTCCTGACTGGCACTGTAAATGTTTAACAAGTATGACTGAACCATTCTTGGTTTCCTACTTTTATTTTCCAGCATGTGTCAGAAAAGCAGGCCGGTAGATCAAACGCCCAGGTCGAATGCTTTGAAGTTAATGTCATAATAGATGTTATAGCACAAAGATCCAACACCTTCTTCCAAGAAGCTTGAACAGGAGCAGGCAAGAATATTAACCATTTAGAGACTGGACAGCAATGTCTCATTGATTCACATGTTCTAGAGCACCAGCTCCACCTGTTTATGCACCAGAACGGGGATGGGAAGAAACACAGCCTTTGGATGTTTGCAAATCCCGGTTTGTCCACTCTTCTAATCATTGGACAATGAGCAAAAAACTACATTTCACTGAACTACAATTTTCTGATCGTGAATATGGGGAGGGTTATTAAAAGAAGTAAAAAGTGTATATAAAACTCAACTAGCATAGCATAATAGCTCAATGAAATAATAAGCATGATAGCACAAAAAAGTTCAAGAAAAAAAAATTAATATAAGCCACAACAATAATCAGAAACTGCTCTTCAGAAAAGAAGGTGAAGCAGATGGCTGAAGTGGTGATTCAGCAATGTAGATCAGGCAAGGGATAGAGCTGGCCAAACACTTTAGAGCCTGCATCTTCCTTCTGTTAGCCACAAGGCTTGTTGCCAAAGCACTTAGAGAAAGTGGCCTCCCAAGTCAGGCTCCTTCTGGACTTATTTTCTGGTAAAGTTCTAGCTTTGGGATTTCATGTCACCTTTCTGCTAGCTGCCAATGGACTTCTCAGACTCAAGTAGGTGAATTCCCAAGGGCAGAAAATATTACAGACACACACTTGTTGCTTACTAGTATCGTAGAATTTTTAAATCTGGGAAATATTATGCAATCTTTTTGTTCAATTCTCTGATTTATAGTTTAGAGTGGAAAGAACTCCTTTTATTCCTGTGATAAAAATGCTGTATTTTAGTCATAAAAAATCTAACAAGAAAAAGCAGCATGATGAAGAAAATAAAAATCACTAAGAATTACATGAGAAAATAAGTGTTAATATTTTTGTAAAGATTATTTGAAATATTTAATGTCGTAACCATCACACTTTTTTTAAAAAAAAGGACTTATTGAATGGAATCAGAGAGCATCTTTATGTTTTAAAACTTTATTCACTGAGGGATATTCTTCTGTTCTCAAGAAACTTTAGATGAACTGTAACCCTTCTGATCAAAAGCACCGCAGATTTAAGATGAAAGTTAAGTCTCCCTCCTTGTCCTAGATTTAAGCATGTCTACTTGCAGTGGGAAAACCATGGGTCATGCTGAGAGTTCCTGTTCCTCTGTTGCTGGGGATTTCTTGATCAGGCCTCAGTCCCTAGGAATCAGGGTGTCTATTGTGACTTCTGAGTGCTGCAGACCTTTGCTCCTCTATGCAGTAGGAAGTCCTATTATGCAGAACCTAACACTATCTGTCCATGGACTTTCTCTCACATTCCATGGGAAATATATTCATTCATATTTTTTGCCTGAACAATTCTGGGAATGCAGGCCAATCCTGATGCAGCAGCAATGGTACATTCTCTAGATTTTTAAGGAAGAGCCGGACATACGTCTACTAAGTATTCCTAATTTTCAGAGACATATTCCAAGTTCTAGGAGCATATACATTAAAGGAAAACCCTTTCTCTTTACCAGAAGTGAGGGGACAATACCCCACTTCCTCCTTGGTGGTAAATGGGGTATAGAGATACTCATTGCACTGCTTGTTCATTTATTCAACACTGCATACCAAAGCAGCACAAAACCCAGAGGTTTGAGATCACAATTTATGATCTCATATGGCTCTGGAGCATTGATTGGGTTGAGGTGGTCATTTCTTATTTGAGGTGTCTTATGGGATCTTAGTCAAATAGTCATTGAAACTAGAGTCACCTGAAGCCTTCTTCAAACACTTAAAGTATCTGGAGTTGGGGGAGGATGGGCATTTTTCTCTCTCCACATTGCCTTTCCAACTGGCTTGCTTAGCCTTCTGCATTACATAATGGTCTCAGGGTAGTTGGACTTTCTTACATGGCAGCTGGCTTCCCCCAGAGGGAGTGTTTCAAGATAAGTATGTGTTTTGTTAAAACAGGTGTTTTTTGTTGTTGTTTTGTTTTGTTTTTCTTATGGCTCAGTACCAGCCTATGGTCAATTAAAAAAAATTCCAGGTGCACTAGAGAAGACTGTATCATTTGCAGTTGTTGGATGTTAATATGGTTTGGCTGTGTCCCCACCCAAATCTCATGTCAAATTGTGATTCCCAATATTGGGGGAGGGACCTGGTGGGAGGTGATTGGATCATGAGGGTGGATTTCCTCCATGCTGTTCTCATGATAGTGAGTGAGTTCTCATGAAATCTGGTTGTTTAAAAGCCTGTAACACTTCCCCCTTCACTCTCTATGTCCTGCTCTGCCATCGTAAGACGTGCTTGCTTCCCTTTCACCTTCCACCATGAGTGTAACTTTCCTGAGGCCTCCCAGCCATGCTTCCTTTACAGCATGCAGAACTGTGAGTCAATTAAACATCTTTTCTTCAAAAATTACCCGGTCTCAGGTAGTTCTTTATAGCAGTGTGAAAACAGACTAAAACAGATATAGTATACTATAGATATTAATAACTGTAATTGTGTTATTTATATTTTCTATAGCCTTGCTGATTTTTTTGTATCTTTTTTCTATACTTACTGAGAGGTATGTTAAACTCTTTAACTACAATTGAGGATTTGTCTTTTTCTGTGTTCTATTTTGTCGTATTTTGCTTTATATATTTTGAATCTATATTATTACATGTTTACAAATTCAGGGTGGTTATATCTTTCTGTGTACTGACCCCTTTATCATTATAAAAGTCTTTTTAGCTCTAGGAATCATTATTGTCTGATAGCTTGCTTTCTCTGACACAAGTATACCAGTTTCTTGTTTGTTATTGTTTATATATGTTTTTCCATTCTTTCAGTTCCCTTTTTTTTATATTTTATTTGAACAGTGTCTTTTGGAGACAGCATATAGTTGGGCAATTTTTTTTAGTTCAATCTGACAATATCTGCGTTCTAACTGGAATGTTTTGTCCATTTACATTTAAAATAATGTTAATGTAATTGGATTTGACTTTACTAGCTTGCTATTTGTTTTCATTTTGGACCATCTGTTCCATGTTACTTTATTTTTCCTCCTTTTTTTGGAACACTCACTTTTGAATTATTCAATATTTCCTCTTGTACTCATTTTTATTTAAGTATATTTATTTTTTAGGTGGTTACCCTAGAGACTACAGCATTAATTCTTAAGTTATTACAATAATTTTAAATAAGAACTTTTACCACTCTAAATACACAGATCTTAAAACAGTGTAACCTCATTTACCTCCTTCCCACCCATTTTACTATTATTCTCATGTAATTTACTTCTATGTATGTCATAACTTTCTAAAGATATTATCATTTCAATGAGCCCATATGCTTTATTTTTAACTACATGCTTACCCCTTCTAGTTCTTCATTTTTCTCTTACAGTTTTGTTCTTCCATATGGGTTCATTTTCTTTCAGACAGAATTTTCTTTAAGGCTTCTTTAATTTTTGGTCTGTTGCTGATTAATACTTCTGGCATTTTTTTGGTCTAAAAGGATCACTATATGGGCTTCCTTTTTGGAAAATATGTTCGCTAGGTACAAATTAAAGGTTGACAAATTTTTCTTTCAGCACTTTAAAAACATAACCCATTTTCTTCTGGCTTCCATAGGTTCTATTAAAGAAGGTACTGTCAGTTTTATTGTTACTCCTTGCTAGGCAAGTGTCTTTTTTTTTCTGGCTGCTTTTAGCATTCTCTTTGTCTCTCTACCTCTTCTTATACACACACACGTATGTATATGTGTGCATGTGTGTGTGTAAATATATTTTTATATACATACATATATACTCTATGTCTACATCTATATTTATCTATCTATAGCTATATATCATGTCTTTGGTTTTCAGAAATTCGATTAGATAAGTTTTTAACCTGCTTGGAGTTTATGGAGATTCTTGAATTGGTTGGGGGGTTTTCTGTGATGCATTTTGAAAACTCTCTTCTAGTAGATCTTCAAATATTTCATTTGTGTCTTTTGCTCTCTGCTCCTCTTTTGGTACTCTAAAGACACAAATAAGACATGTGTTTATATTTCCCATCTTGATGTATCCCATGTGTCCTTTATACTTTGTCTATTTTTTCCTTTCTTTTTCTTCTGTCTATGCTTCAGTTTTCTAAGTAGGATAATGGCTAATCACCTTAATCTAAACATGCATTGAACTGGATTCAGGCTGTTGCAGCTTAGTGAAATGACCTTCATTTATTTCATTTCCTCACGTGCTGCCCTCCTGGATTTTGATTGAGCAGTCAATGGCTATCTGTCTGCTCATTCTTGAAAGATTTCTGGAGATTTAGCTCTGCTCTTTGGAGGTTTTAATTTTCAATTTTTAGCCTTCCACCCCTGAAACCTCCAAATCTGGCAATTATCTTGAGGGAAGACCAGCTGTGGGTTTTATGCATGCCTTCGTCTTTTAGTAAGATTTTGTCTCCAAAGACGGAAAGGTGTGGGAGAATTTACTCTACCCTTGGAGTTTATCAACCCCACCTCCCATGTGCAACAAATATGTTGTGGGCAAAAAAATGTAGAATATTATGGCTCTTCATATTTCAATCTGCCATGCCTTCCATGTGTGACCACCAAAAACCTCACTTTTGGTGAGAAACCCTTTGCATGAGCCACACCCCAAGGAGAGAAAATGTCAGTGATATCACCTCATTTTAGAAAGGTTCTCGTGTCCCTGGAATTCCAATTTCTTTAGTCTTTTTTGCTTCCAAAGCATTTATATAGTCTTTAGCAACATAATTTTATAAATATTTATGGCACTTTTTGGTTGTTGCAATGGGAGTTTTGGTTTGCTATGATCTCATAATTTTTTCTTCACATATTTATTTCTGTATATATCTACTAATGATACAGCGATACAATGATTTGGAGATCTCAGCTCTTTTTGGGGTCTCTATTTATACTTCTCAGATTGCACTGGCCTAATCTCGCACTGGGCAGATTGTAGGTTATAATAAATATTTGTTTCTGTAATTATACATAGGGCAGCTGCCTTTTTTAGTGTTTGCTTACCTGTCCAAATTTAGGCCTATGCTTTTTATCTCATTATTAAAGATTTTAATTACAGTCTTGTAAGCTCAGTTCTGCTTTCATGTATAACCTTTTCTTATTTTATGTATTATTTCTAAATGTTTTACAGTGAGAGGATTCACAGGATTTCTAGTATACCATATTCACAGAACAAAATCACAAATTTTGTTTCTTGAATCTACTTTTAAATCCATATGTTTTCCTAGATAATAATCAATTTTATTCAGAATTTCAAAAATTATTACAATAGAGTTTTACAAATATTATTTGAAATAACTTCTCCTGTAGGTCTGGTATATTTTTCTTTATTTAATTCTCGATTTCATGGTTTATTTTTGTTAGGCAAACTAATGGCTGATTTGTTTTATTTATTTTTTCAAGGGAACTCTTGTTGGCTTTATTTAGCAATTATGCCATTTGACTTATTTTATCTTACTTAAGTATATAATTAATATATTTTAATTTACTAAAATTCAGTGACTTCTCTTCTTGGTACATCTTGGCAAAGTTAAGTAGATTTCCACAATAGTATTCCATTTTGTAGTTTTTCAGATATGTCTATGTATTTTCTAGATATTCTCTTCTATGGCATATAAATTAAGACCGTGTCTGTATTTCTGATTCAACATTTTTAAATTTGCTTTGTTATTAGTTTTTACCATTATTGCATTTTTGTATGAAAATGTAGTATGTAATAGTTTCATTTCCCAAGTTTCATAGAGGTTTAAAAAATTTTAATACATGTTCTTTATTAAATCTATAAGCCCTTAAAAAGATGTATATTTTATATTTACAGATGGTAAACTTTGATTTAGCTCTATTTTTATTTAGATATCTATATATTTCTCTAGCTTTACTTCCATTATGTCAAATTACTTATTGTGTTGGTTAAGGTCTCTGTTCCTACAATTTTTAAACTACCTAACCTGCATTTTTCAATGAGTTTTGCTTCATATATTTTGATGCTATTTATTTCAATGTTTAAAGAGTTATTAAGAGTTATAGTCTATTATCTATTGTATTTTTGGTAATTCTCCTTGTTTAGGGCATTTAATTCATTTTACCTTAATTTCATGTTTGTTTGGTAATAATAATAATAATAATAATAATAATGTATTCTGTGTTTTTTCATTAGTCTGGTTTTCCCCCATCCTTCCTTTATATCAATGTTTTCTGAAATGTTTTTAGGCATATCAGTTTTTATTTTGATTTAGTATAAGCAATTAAATAGTATTTAATCATTTATCCTATTTTAATTATTAGTTATTATTTTCACAAAATGATTGTGGTCTTACATCTGTTGTTTTTCGTGTTCTGTTTTTTTTCAAAAATATGTGCTTGCTTTCATCTTCCCTTTAAAACAATTTAGCTATACTATGAGATTTTGTCTTTGATCTTCTCACCTAGTAATTTGAAAGGTGTATACTTTGGTTTTAGCTCAATTCATAGTTATATTTGTAATTGTAAGTAATGTTCCCACATTTACATTTCATAGTATAGCATCTTCAGCAACAGAATGCTGTCTACTAGGTCTCTTCTGTGACAAAGAAGGGCAATCACGTAGGTTCATTTTCATCCATTTTTACTCTTTTACTCTATTTTTTTGTTTGCTTATGTAACCTGGAAAGTTTGTATCTATTTATTATAGTTAATTTATTGTTATTTTCACATTATTTATGTTAATTTTTTTTCAAGAGACTGTTTTATAACAGTCTCACTTTGTAACTATCATTATTGAGCCTAAATCCTAAGTTGCATAGATTAGTATTCATTCATTCTTCATATCAAATTTTCCTGTTTTTGATCATTGAATTTTGCTGTCTCTCTATTTTGGATTAAGTATATCTTCAGGTAGGTTTTTAAGGAAACGTTATATGAGTAATATATCTCCAGAGACTTTATTAATATGTTAAATTTCAGCTGACTGTGATAAACAACAACAAAACCCTACAAAATACCAGTTGTTTAAATAAGACTGAAAGTTAAAAATATTTTCTGTAAATCATAACAGGCATATGATAGAGCATAAGATGAACTAAAATATTTTAAGAATTTCCTGCAGCCATGCTTGTCACATATCATCTCATTTAATCTTCACAAATGCCCCGATATGGGAATTAACGTTCTGTATTCTAGAGACAGGAAACTGCAGCTCAAAGGGCAAAAGTATCTAGTCCAAAGTGACAGATGCGAGTTGAAGCCAGTGTTATCTATCTCCCATGTTATCTTCACTGCAGTTGTACTGCCCCTGAGGATATAAGGGGCAAATAAAAGTGAGGATAAAGTATTCCAGGGTCAGAGCTGAGCCATTGATGAATTCCTTCTGGGATTAAAGGGTGGAAACTCCGAGAAGCATCAGAGAGCAGGTAATGTTTGAGAGCAATCTTAAATGATTAATTGAAGTTTTCCAGGTGGGCAAGGAAGGGGAACGCATTCCAGGCTAAGAAGACAACATGAGCAATAAGCTTTTGTTCCTTAAAGGGATTAATCAAAACTTTCTATTATTTTATTTCTAGGCACAAAACCGGTGCTTAATAGAGGTTTTACTGGCTTAATTTATTTAGTCATTCTCTTTGTTCCATGTGGCAGATATGCCATTTGCCACTCTAATATTGTCCTATCCTTTCTCCTAGTAAGAAAACTCTAATTTAGTGGAGGCAGCAATGGGCCCAGCTAAAAAGATGATGTTTCCAAGCCTCCCTTGCAGCTTGAAGATGTAGACAGAAATTGTTGGGGAGTCTTCTAGGAAAGCACATAAGAGAAGGACAGACAGCTGATCTATCCCTTTTTGCCCTTCGCCCTCATGTTCTGATTCCTGCTTAGAATCACCTGTGTCTTAGACTGTGGGCCATCCGTGAGAATGGAAACCACATGATTGTGACAGTAAATGGAAAAGCAGAAGGAAGCTGGGTCCGTGATGACAATGTGAGGTCACATACCAATCCTGAATGCCTATTTTAAGATTTTTTTAATGTAAAAAATAAATTTCTCTCTTCTTTAGGCCACTGCTATTTCTATTCTCTGCTACTAGCCGCAGAATGCAATTCCTAACTGATATACACCACATTTACCCTATGCTCCAGAAATCTACATGCAGATGACTCGGGGCAACTACAAATACTTATGGCTAGAAATTACTATTTGGAAAATGCATAGAAATAACTGAGAGAATTTTCCTGCATGGACCTCATTTCCAAGGTGCATCTCAAAGACAGTCTTATACCAGCCATGCAGCGTGGAGGAATTCTAGAAGCCTTTCAGGAAGAGAAAGTGGCTGCTATTGCTGCTGATACTGCTGCAGTTTAGTGGAAACTAAAAGGCTGGAATGATGACCTTTCAAGAAGAACAAATGTTATTAAATAATGGATTTTTGTCCCACCTCCTGCAACAGTCAAGAGCAAAAGGATGAAAAGGGAATCCTATTCTTCTATTAATAACTCCTCAGTCAGTCTCATGCTGACAAAGCAGAAAGCAGCTTTAAAATTAGCAATTTTGCCTGCAAATTAGCCCCTTGCAAAGCCATAAAAAGAGAAAAGGAAATAAGAAGAATTCTTTTAATGGAGTCAAGGATGGAAAAACCAAGAGTGATAGAGCATAAATGCCCAGAAAACATACTTATTTTAAGGACGATAATACCCAGGTTTTAAAGAGCTGCTTATAGCTGTGTATGAGGAAAGTGTTAATTTATAGCCCTTGGACCAGTGGCTTTTCTTAATGGCTCCTTGGAGCGAATCTATCAGATAACTTGGAAGAGCACAAGGTTTAGGTTGACGTTAATAAATATTACTCCATTCACCCCTATCTGAGAAATTCCTATTCCATTTCAGAAAGGCAATGCAGTAAATGAAAAGAGATTAAACTTTACAGGCAGACAGACAGGTTTGAACCCTGGCTCTGCTCCTTCACTAGCCCTGGGAAAGTCTGGGCACCACTCTGGGCCTCTATTTTGTCTTCTATCAAAACAGAGGGTAATTATGCTTCAGTGTGTTAGTATCATTAAATTTAGTACCATGCATAGAACTTGGTCCCTAGTAGGTTCTTAGTGAATGTTAGTCCTTTTCTACTCTCCTTTCCTCATCTGATAGCTAGGAACACTAAACTTTCTTGCAAACCTATGCAAAGCAATTATATTTATCTCTGTGAAATTCTCCCCATAAGAAGATGAATCCCTACAGAGAAGATGAGCACATTTCCATAATCTACAATTGGTCTCAGGTATTAGGCTCCTGTTTACAGTTTTGTATAAATGATAAGTCAATATTCAATAGTGGGAATAATCTGAAAAAATAAACTGATACTCCCTTAACAATAAAAAGGAGGAGCTCTCTATTTCCAGCAAGGAACATACACAAGAGCAGGAATTTTAAATTTATACAGTTTGCTTCATTTGCAGCTTTGGTGGTTTCCACATTCATAGTCATTTAATACTCCTTACGTTCCAAGAGGAAGTGAGGAACTTGGGGATCTGTTGAAGGCTTGGCGAGTCTCAGTCATTCCTTTCTTAGTTCAAGAGGGTATTTTATACCTGAAACATACATTTTCCTTTCCAGGTCTAAAAAATTGCAAGATATAAAGAAAGCAGTTAAAGCCATAATGCACATGGAGTACAAACACTGTTTGAAGATGAGTAAATCATTCAGAAATACCTGAACAGCATTTAAAAAATACTTTTTCTTATTGATGGCTGTAGATCACAAGATTGGATACCTTTATAGAAATCTAACTGTGCTAGAAACACTAGGCAGAGTTACCTCTCCAAATGTAGTAATACAGCCCCAGAATAATTCTCCTTCAAGTTTTCAGATCTCAAGTTCATAGGATCTGGTTTAGGTGGGTCCTTAGAAATGATTTAAATCCCCTAATAACATAACCATATAATAGTTTTTCCACTTGTGTTTGCACATCTCCAGCAATAGAGAAGAGCATTCTTCCCAGGGCAGTTGAGTTGAAATTAAGTCAATACATATGCATCGAGCTCCTCTAATATGATAGTCAATTGTTTGTACAGAGGTATGTATTAGCTTCCTGTGGCTGCCATAACAGAGTACCACAAACCAGGTGGCTTAAAACAACAGAAATTTATTGTCTCACTGTTCTAGAGGCTAGAAGTTTGAAATAATGGTGTCTGTAGGGCTATGATCCCTCTGAAATCTATAGGGGAGAACCCTGCCTTACATCTTCCAGCTTGTGTTGTTTGCTGACCACCCTTGGCATTCCTTGGCTTGTAGATACATTATTCCAATCTCTGCCTCCTTCATCACATGGTCATCTTCCTGCGTGTCTCTCTTTTTCTCTTAAGAACACCAGTCATAGTGGATTATCTCATCTTAACTATTAGATCTGCAATGATCCTATTTACAAATAAGGCCCCATTCTGAGGTACTAGGGGTTAGGACTTCATCATATATTTTGGGGGTATGTAATTTAACTGATAACAGGAATTAAAGATGGTTAAGAATTGGTCTCTGCTTTGGGTAGTTCCTAGTTCCATGACTTCCCATAGCAGGCGTAGAAAGTAGACAGACTTGGTTTTCTAGCCCAGCTAAACCTCCTAGTGGCCAAATGACCTTAGTCAAGTTAATTAAGCTGTAGTTTCATCTTCTGAAAATGGAATAAAAATTGAGAAAATTGAATGGATCAGTGACTGGAGAGTGTATATCAAGATGATAAGCACAGGATAAGCACTGAATAAATGTTATCTTTCCCTTTCCCAATACCAGGACTTTATTGTATGATCAAATTATTCATTCATATACTCATATATTCGATTATTTCTGCAAATATTTCTCAAGCATCTAATACACAGCAAGCACCAAGGTAATATATTAGAGAAAAAGACAAGACATGATCCCTTCACTCACGGAGGCTATTATCCTGCTCTGTGCTAGATTTTAATTAAACAATTTATTTAGCAAAATGCCAAAAGGCCTTCAAAATAAGAAGAATGCTCAGTAGTGCACAGTCTGACTATTGAAGAGTGATAAAGGGAAATACATCTAACATTTATTGAGTGCTTAGCATATAACAGATACTGTGCTAGATAAGTTATCTGTCATCTCATTGAATCTTGAAACAACCTGAGGAAATAGTTGTTTAATTTAATAGGCTACAGTTCAGAGAAGTGATGAAACCTACCCAAGAACACTCAGCTGGTAATTTCTAGAACCTCTTTCTCCTCTGCCACAGTTAGGAGTCTATTTACTATTGGTCAAGAATTTGGTCATCAGATTGAAGACACATGAGGTGGAGATGAATGAGTCTTCTTTTGACAAAACATTTTATCCCTTATGTGGAATGGCAGTTTATCTCAAGGTAAGCCTCCAGGCCAATTTCTGCCCAGTTCTATTTTTTGTATCCACATGACAGCAGTTCACACAAAGCTTACTTGTGCCAAATCCTGCTTACTTTATGTTGAATGGGTTTAGGGAGACTCACTAGCATCCTTCTTTCATGATCCCTTGAAATCAGAAGGGCAAGAGATGCACTCAGTAGCCACATATGAGGACCCATTATAAGATTTTGATTCTCTTGATTCTGTGTTCTAAGAAGCCAGACACCTGTGCATGAGCTGAAGGCAATTCCTCCAGCTTTACAGTCTTCCCTACTGACTGCCAGAGTCTTCCCAAGTCCTCACATCACTACCCAAGGGCTCATAAACACTCTTGCAAGGTAGATGAGCTCTCCATATGGTTTGTCGTTTGAGAGAAATCCTAGGAGATCAGCAGCTTGGAAGACCATAACAGCCATGGATTTGACGTCTGTTTCCATGTTCTTTTCCTTCCTTTTATTGTCTGCGTGGATCATATATTCTCTTGGACACCAGCTTGAATCCTAAAAGCCTTCCAGAATAATGTATTTGCTCTTGTTCTTTAGGGAAGCTTAGCTTCAAGGCTTTTATGGTTATTTCATCCTGAATTTGCTGAGGTTTCATGGGTTACACTTTCTTCACTTATCTACATATGGTTGTGAATGAAAATCTATTAAATAGAGAAAAGGATGACTTCTTAATGGCATTGCTGTCAATGAGGGTCATCGTCACAGCTTTCAAAATCTATGCAGCAGGGATCCCCTAGAGCAGTGGCTCTCAATGGGGAGAAAATTGTCTATCCCCCAGGGGGTGTTTGGCAATATCTGGGAATAGTTTTTGTTGTCATAACTGGTGTGTATGTGGGATGCTATTGGCAAAGGATGCTGCTAAACATCTTACAAACCCAAGGCACTCTCCCACAAGAAAGAATTATCTAGCCCAAATATCAACAGTACTAAGATTGAAAAACCCTGACCTAGAGGGTAGTCTTTAGACATCACCCTGAAAACTGAATGCTCTGCATTCCAGGCTTGGATCAACTCCTAACTGATTATTTTAACATGGTCAAACAACTTAATGCCTTTGAACACCAGCTTGCTTATATATAAAATGCAGGAAATGGCTGTTGGGAAAGAAAATTGAGCCACCAATTGTATTTTAAGGCCAAAGGAAAGAGGAAAATAATGTGTAATATTCACAGATGTTCATTTGAGTTATTTATAAGAGCGAATATCACAAAACAGCTGAAAGTTTTGTTTAAATAAAGAATAGTTTGACAGAACAGTATGAGGATCTTACAAAACAGTTTTCATTAAATGGAAAATGACTTTGTTATGATATTTTTAAAAGGATAATATTATTTAAATTAGTATGTACAGTAGACCAGAGAGGAATTTGTTACTGTGTTTCCTGAGCTGTCTCTATCAGTATTTCCTGTTGCACTCATCAGTGTCTAAGACTCAATTGTTTAAGTGTGTGTCTTTATGACCAGATCATGTGAATGATGGTAGGTCATAATTATCTCTGTATCTTCAATGTCTTGCACGTGGAAGGTAATCAACAAATGTTAGTTGAGTTTGTTTATTTATGTACGAGAATAAAAAAATAACTGCAAGAAGCCTAACTATATAAAAGATCAGACAAATGCAGCCAAATGTTAACAATGGTATTTTTAAGTTCAATTTCTCTGCATTTTCTATTCTACTATTTCTATATAAAGAGTATGTTTTAATTTTACCACAGGAATAAAAAAATAACTAGAGAGATTTTTGAACAAAGACTCTCATGTAAGTACATGGAAACTAGAAGTGTTTCCCTCCTGTTTTTTTTTTTTTTTTTTTTTTTTTCTCACTCCAGCCTGACCTCTTACCCAGGGAGAATTAGGTACTATTTTTTTGCTGCTGTCAACATTAGGTACTGACCTCTGTAAAAGCATTGATAATATCATATTGAATTTTACATTTTCACCTGCCCCACTACTGTGAGCAAATTTGATACAAGGCCAGTTTTTACTTATTTATCTCTGTATTCCTGCCACCTACCTCAGTGCCTTTTATACCAGTGGTGATCAGTGTATGCCAAATGACAAAACTCCTGTATGTAGTATTTACTATATCATACTGTGATTCACTGTAAGGGGGCAGGGACTGCAAATCACATATTAACATGTAGTAGATGCTCAGTAAATAGAGTTTGTTGAATAAATGGATGACAATAAAGCCTGTACTTCCTGCACTAAACCAATTAAACCAACTTTCCTCCAACAGCACCTGCTTGACTATGGATACATTAGCATAGCAGAGTTGAACAAAATCGAAATCCCTCACTTCCAATTAGGAGATAAGAGCAGGCTTGGATCCTGGCTTATTTTGCTTAAGGCTTAATCATTTGGCTCCCAGGTAAATTCAAATTCTTTAGAAATGAGTCAAAAATGCTCTTTTCAAATTTAGCATCTCTAGTCCAAGGTTGTAATTCCTTGATATTCCTCTAATGGTGTGAAACGTTGGACATTTTCTTTCAAATGTGTGACTTTGTAAAGTTCTTTTATTCTCTCGGTGACTTTAAAATAAAAAGGATGGTTATGTCTTAGGTATTGACAGGAAAGTGCTCTACTGTTTTGGAGGGAGCTTGAGTAGCAAAAATACTGAATAGTTTGGGGTAATGGTTAAAACACAAGTGGGTTTAAATCTTAGCTCTGCCACCCGTTGATTCACTGTACAACCTCTTGTAAGATAAGTCAGTGCTCCATGCCTTTGTTTCCTTCTTGAAAAATGCAGGCAACATTGTACATATCTCATTGAGTTTTGAGAGTGATAAATAAGAAAATGATTATAAAAATCACAGCACACTACATCTGGTACATAATAACCATTCAGTAAAATCAGATATCATTATGTCAGTAACAATTTGTGTAACCTGTGGAAAGTAAATTCAGGGCTTTCTTTTCATCTCCTTTTCTCCCTTCTGTAACTAAAGATTTGTACTAGGCTATCTGAATTCTCCTTCCCAGATCCTAGATTTTTATACCCATTGATTCTAAGGATTAAAGTCTTTAGGAGCCTTGTTGGATGTCTAATTCCTGTGCAGATTCTGTAGAACTAAAAATGGGTCCACTGACTGTAATCTAATGAGGCTTGGAGGCTGGGGGAAACCATCAGGAGAAAGAGTAGCAGTGAGCGGGCAAAGAACAACGAAGTATGGGAGAAAGAGCACTGGGTCAGGTGTTAGAGAATTAGAATCTAACTCAGGTATGGGATGGCTGTACATATAATTTCTCCATGGCAGCACTCAACTTTCTCACCAATAATATTAGAATGAAATCGCTAGTGAATTCAAAGCCTCTTCCAGTTCTACCTGATATGATTTTGGTCTATTTACTGGGCATACTATCCTGAATTTATTCTCTTCAGTGTTTGTTCCCCAGCCTGCCAAAAGGCCGCTCTCCTCCTTCAATCTTTCTGACTTCTTTCTATGAGTTCTGAACTTCGCTTCCCCTTTAGATGCTAGCTTATTAACCACTCTTATACACTGCCTAGAAATCCCAGAATAATACAAGATATTTGTCTGAAGGTCTTAGGGGTTCTTTCTGCATCTACTGCTTTCAGAATGACCATAATGAGGCTCCTGGGACCAACCATAGGTTAAAGAAAAACCATCTGGTGCTGAGAATCCAAAGGCAGCGGGAAATCCTCAACAGGAACTGGAGAGGTTGGAGAAATAATAGAGCAGAAGCCACCTGGAAGCAGGTGAATAACACTGAATAAATGATTACAACTTAGACTAATCCAGTCTTGCTCTAGAAAGAATAACAGATAAATGAAGGCAAATTTAGACTCAGTATTAGAATCAACTGTATAAAAAATGCAGTTTGCCAAATAGTGACACTAAAATGGCTTCAAGGTAGATAGCTGGAGAGTAAAAAATTTTAACCTGAAGAATGGAGAAAATCCTTGCTTCTGATAGGAGGAAGGATTTAATAATCTCCAAATTCTTCTGAATTCGAGCTCTGAAACTGTGATTCTGTCCATAAATGTAGCAATGCTCAGAAAGGATGAATATCCATAGAGCAACTTTCATATGCAGGAGCCAGGCACTATACTAGAATCTTTTTACATTCTCTCAATAATCCCAAAAACAGGATCATAACACCTCTGTTTTGCAGAAAGAAAAATTGTGGCTCAGGCAAGGAAACTAAATGACTTCTCCAAGCTTGTAAGAGATGCAATAGTATTTTATTTTAGAGCTGGTGAAGAATTCTTAGGAAGCCAGAAATCAGCTGGTTCTTGCTGTTTTGACTGCACGGATTTGAGCTCCTGAATTTCTCCACAGGGGCCCAAACAACAGGGCAGGTTGTTAGCTGCATTGCACATAGAAGGGTAGAAGAGGAAGAATGATTTTACTTCTTGACAAAGAAGAAGAAGGAAAGACGTCTGCAGGGTAAGCATGTCTGGGAGTCCCTGCCACCTGCTGCCATTCATTTAATCATCCCTGGGAGCCGGACTGCAGGCCCTGTGCCAGGCTGTCAGCAGCAGAAACTGGCAAGGAGAGAGCTCACTCAGCAGCTATTAGATACCAGGGCCTGCCCACCAGTTACAGTGTGAACTGGGGACTGGAGGAACAGGAAGCAATGGCTGATCTCAGCAGTCAGCAGGAGGAAAAGTAAGGCAGAACTGAAATGTATGATGTGTTTACTTTGTTATCAGCACTGTGTCATGCTAAGTACCTTTGAAATGTCTCTTCTTCTCATTCCTCGAAATAGTCCTACTAAGTAGGTATTACTTTCTTCATTATTGCCAAAGAAGAAACTAAGACCAAAAGAGTTTAAGTAAATTGTTCAGTAGATCTTGGACATTAAACCAATTTTGTCTGACTCAAAATTCCACATTAACTATGATTTTCCAGACTCAATTCACTGGTGTTCCCTTTCATATTTCACCATGTCTGCACAGCGCTTCTACTTTTATTTAACCATTTTTCTGCAAGTCAACACCCCTCCTTCTTAAATTTTACTTTTGTAAATGCATTTTAAAAGGAAGATGTATAATGCTACCATAAATGGAAAAGCAATTTCACTTGCCATAAGTAGATGGTAATAACAAAAATAAATAAATGAAAACAAAATAGTGTGATTAAATTCTTGCTATAGAGTCTAGTGCCTGGAAGGCTTTGTGCCTGAGGTGTACTTTCTTTTTTAAAACTGAAGATTAGCAAGTGTTATAGAGATGCTAAAGATACAGAGGACCAAAATGATTTTTTTCTGTCTGGAAGAAAACAAATCAAAAGAATTGAAGGATAATTGGAATTCATATTATGCGTTTCAAAGCTGTTTCATGCCCTTTCTCCATCCTCCCCCAAACCATCTCCAGGAGATCCAGTCTCCATGCCCACACATGGAGGGCTCTTTTCATGATAGTAGTGAAAATGGGAACTTCTGTTCTGACATCAAGCAAGTACTCACTTTGCATGCCATCTCCTCAAGTGAGACAACACAGTTCACTAGGTAGAAAGTGAAGGGAAAATAAATGGGTCTGGACTGTTACGGTAACCTCCTAAACGGCCTTTCTGACACAAATTTTCATCCAATATATCATCATTTAAAGTCATGATAATTTTCTGCTAAGACATATGAAGTGGTTTCTTTTTTTTTTTTTTGAGACAGAGTCTCATTCTGTCGCCCAGGCTCGAGTGCTCAGTGCTCACTGCAAGCTCCGCCTCCCGGGTTCAAGCCATTCTCCTGCCTCAGCCTCCCGAGTAACTGGGACTACAGGCACCCGCCACCACGCCCTCCTAATTTTTTGTATTTTTAGTAGAGACAGGGTTTCACTGTGTTAGCCAGGATAGGCTCGATCTCCTGACCTCGTGATCCGTCCGCCTCGGCCTCCCAAAGAGCTGGGGATTACAGGCATGAGCCACTGCGCCCGGCCTGAAGTGGTTTCTTTTTATAGATATGATTAATTCTCAATACTTTAGGCTAGAATTTAAGCCCTTGCAAAATTTTATTATGCCCCACCACCAACATTATACTTAAGCCAAAGTGAACCAAAATGAACCATTCGCCATTGCTATTAAACATTCTCAAAATGTCCTGCCTGTATGCTAATGATAATCTGTTCTCTCTGTTTGGATAATCTCTCTCTATCCCTCCAGCATATTTAAATGTGTAATAAGGGTGCGCAGAAAGATACAAGCCTGTGAAGACAAGGATAAGGGAAGTACAATATGCGAAGGTCTAGAAGATATCTATTAGACTTGGCATAGGAAAGGTCTGAGTGACCTTTGCCAGGATTGTTTCAGTCAAGTGTTGGGAATGTTGGTGGATTGAGGAGTAAATGGGAGTTGAGTAACTGGAGGCAACAGAAACACATTATTGATCAAGATAGAAGATGAAAAATGAAGTGTAAGAGAGAGGGAAACAGGAGAGCTCAGAGCATGGTTTTAGGTAACAGGGGGCAAAAAGATAGACAGGAAGAAATTTAAGATCTAAACTTAAAGAACATGGGAAATAACATAATCGAGAAGAAATGTGAAGAAGTTGGCCTTGTACATGAGGAAGGACACTTAGAGAAGCCTGCGGTAAAGTGATGACTTTCTAAAAATGGAATGGAATTAGCAGAATGAATTTGTAGCACACATTTACCACTAAGTAGCTGGAGAGTCGGGATGTCCCTGGATTTTTGCCATCCAATATATAATATTAGGACAGTCAGACCTCTAATACTGATGAGGAGTCACACAATATTTCAGGTTGAATAAAATCCTATCTTCTACCTTATGCTTGCATCCATGTCACAGAAAAGATGTTTACTCTCTTAACTTTAGTGGTTGGGGATTAATTTCTACATGAAACAGAAAATTCAATTTTCAGAAAGCCTTAAGTATCAGAAACTTCTCTTCTAAATAGAAGTGTCTACCTCCCTGCCATATGGTGCCTGTTTTGCCCTTAAAAGTTCCTTAAGACTTGAATTTCTCTTCAAATATGTCTATAGTGATGGGTTTTTTTCTTAAACCAAATTATTCGGTCATTCCACCGTTTTTATCATATGACATAATTTCCAAACCTTTCATTTTCTCAGAGATTACTTTTTGGATGTACCAACATCTGTTTAAATTGTGATATCCAAGAATAAAAATATTATTCCAGATATGATTTGATCAGGGAAAAGTAGTGAAGAGTTCATTCTAGGCACTTGGTTTTATTAAGTACAGCCAAGATACTGACTAAGATTTATTGAGTACTTATTATATGCAGGCAATTTCTTAAGAGTTTTAAATGCGTCATTTTATTTAATCTTTATAGTAGCCCTATAAAGTAGGAACTATTCTTATTACATTTCACTGACTGACAATTGGAAGCCAAGATGGGTTAAATAATTTTCACAAGGTCACTGAGCTAGTAAGTGGCAGAGCTGGAATTTGATCTAAGGTTTGCTTGACTTCAGAATTCAAGCTTTGAAGTGATACATGATAACTTCATGTGTGTTGATAGGTGTCACTCATTTCCCTTCCATCCTATAGGTTTCTTGAACCAAGTGCTGAGCACGGAGTACAGCACCAGAGGCTCTCATGGAATGGGGGTTGAATCCCTATGGTGCAGATATTACTAGCTCCCATTTTGCAGCTGAGAAAACCGAGGCTCAGTTTAACAACAAATATTTACTAAGAGCCCTACTAAGTCCCAGGCATAGCACTGTTGCCAACAGTGAAACAATAGTAAGCACAGAGTTTTATGAAAATAAAGAGTCCTATATCTGGACTCACAGGTCAATACTATTTCACAACATTACAGCTTTTCATCCAACAAAATTTTTCAGAATCAATGTGGAAGAATGAAATTTGCCATCTCTAGCAAATAAAAAAAAACTGTTCAGGCAAATGAAGATGTCCCCTTTCGATAGTTTCTGGAGAGAAAGATGTGGTTCTGATGAGGAAAACATAATAATGTTCAGTCAAGGAGTAGAAAGAGGCTTTCTTTAACCTCTCTCCACAAATCTAAAGTTTTTTTAAATGCCCGTTCCCCCCACCTGACAAATGTAGCATTCTTTTAAATATGTAGTAAAAGTGTAAATCAGAACAAAGACCATATTTCACACCAAGAGGCTTGTATATCCATCAGGTATTTATGGTGCTGCTGTTAGCCAACTCTTCCATCTGGAATGTCTTTAGTCATCTTTCATCTGGTACACCTATTAGAGGAATGCCAGAGCCATCCATAACAAAGGGGCTCATCTTTTAGAACCCCTTTGGCAGGAAGGAGAAATCCAAAGGTTTCCCATAAAGCCTGTGTTTCACATTGCGTTTAATGCAGTTGTTTGATATGATAATGTCTTTGGGGGAAACTTGGCCCTGCCCCTCAAGGATAATAATGGACAGTTATTTTATTCTGTTGTGCTGTCTAATGAGGAACCATCTATTAAAAGCACAAGGGTTTGTATAATCTACAAATTATAGAGGGAAGAGATTGTAGATCCTTTTCCTCCCTCCAACAAAACTAAAAGACTTGGCCAAAAAAAAAGAGACCTTATTATTATTTCTAAATTGGGTGGTGAGTACCTGTTATCATCTAAAACCAGTTAAAAAACAAAAACAAATCGGGAAAAGTTTAATGGACTCTCCCATTAAACATAATTGAATATTCTTAGAACAAAGCTGTTACACAGATATTTTCCAGTTTGTTCAAGTAAAGGTAAAATATAAAATCTAAACATGAACTTTTAAAAATAATCATTTCCAAAGGATGAATACATCGCTGGGAAAAAAACAACAGCTTTAACTGTCACTTTGAACACTGCAATGCTATTTCATTAGTCCCTCAGCAGAATGTCTCATTATGAAAATAATATGTGGGGAGTTCTTAGTTCAAAAAAGCCAGGAGACAAATTCATTGCTAAAATGTTCCAGAATGTCTCAGAAGGAAATAAAACTACCAGAACTTTCATCCTATTCCAACCACAGACACAATGTCCATGAGGAACTGTCATTCTTTTTGACATGACTGCTCAGTATAGGGTTGGGAAATGCCTCCAAGCAGAGGAACCCATTCTGGAAGCCACTCTAACTGCTCTCATCCTCAGCATAGATGTAGAAACACAGGCCTGCAAGTGTCTCCTATCAATTAGACATTCAGAACGGAGAAGGGCTGTCTAAATGCATGGGGGTGAGGAAGCTGCAGGGCTTTATGCCTTATTAATTGGACATTGCTATTTAAACTCTTGAAGACTCCAAATGGTTTTGGCATGTGGTCAGAACCATAAAATAAATGGACTCAATAAGTGAAAAGGAATACTCTGAGCTAGGCCATTTCCTGTTCCTCCCTAGAATCCTAAACTGTGTCTGGTACCAGAATTTCAAGCTCAAATCTCAGCTGAATACTCAGCAAGCCGTTAAGTGCTGCTGCAACTGTAATTGAGACTTTTCTTCTTCTCCTTTTAGTTCTGGCCTCTTCAAGAGGTGGTGGCGTGAATAAATAACCACCTTTATTTTAAATTGGCCAATGAGTCTACTTCCGTCGAAAGAAATTGCCCAGCAAAATAAAGCCTCACTTGATTTGTACGTGTGTGGGTGGTGGGGGTTGGTGGAGGGAGTATTTCATTAAGTCATAGTGCCTCTTCTTCCATTTGAATGAGTTCTTCCATGCAAATTATCCTGAAAAGAAGTCTACTTCTGGCACTAAGCATGGAAGAGGGTCTATTTCCAGAAAAGAAGGTGGCAGGACAGACCAGAGTAGGTTCCCATCTGTCTTTGCTTCTTTAAGAATCAAGACGGTCTTCTGAAAACAGACTGCTTCATCCCATGAAAATGAGCAGAGAGTCTGGTGATAAAGCAGACACCCTGCCATCGGCATCATCCTGATGAACACTGCATTGCTATTTCATTAATCTCTCACTTCCATGCTTCTCTACCTGTTTTCAGCGCTGTTCATGTCTCCTCACAGTGTGTCAACACAGTGGAAGGAAATAGAGTGTTGGAGCCATCAACACTCTCACTTTCCCTCCTCATCCTTGTCGAGCAGATTATGCTTTTGTAACTGGTCACAGGTAGCAGGCCAAGAGAGACCTTCTTGAGGGACTGCTGTTTAGGGTGTTAAGAGATAAGCCAACGCGGTCTGTTGGGAAAAGCTGGGGATAGGCGCACTCCTCTACCAAGTCCAGTACAGGAGTTCCTTCAAAGAGGCTCTGCTAAGGGAGCGTAAAAGAGGGGGAAAGGAGCCATCCTTTTTGGCCACGGACTCTGTACCAGATGTTCCCTTTTAAGAGTTTCACATACATTATCACACTTAAACCTCACAGCAGCAGTTTGAGGGAGATCTGACTGCTCCCATTTTATACATAAGGACACTGAGGCTTAGAATCTTAAATGATGTGCTTAAGGTACATGCTATGGACTCGAAAGTTGAAAACTACGCCTGTATATGCCCAAAGTCCTTGGCAGTTTCTGCCAAAGGCTCTTTGTGCCACTTCATGTGAATAATAAAACACTCTGACACACCCCTCCACCCCCACCCTATGCCTCCTATCTGCCTTGGTGTTTATGTCCATTGGCTCTCATCTAAGCATTTTGCATTGGGTGCTTTTTGGTGTCTCAGTTCTTACCCTGCAACTCTACTCATTGCCTTGGCTTTGGTAACCAATATTCATTTTCTTCCAAATAAAACCTAATCTTGGCTCCAAAACTCTATTTCCTTACACTGTTGGCACACTTTGAGGAGGCACGAGCAGCCCTGAAAAAAGGTAGGGAAGCATGCTGCAGAATTTCAAGCCTCTCTCTCTATTAGTTTATTAATTTAAGATAGAATTCAGTGTTAAGAGCATGGGCTTTCGGTTCACTCAGAAGTGGGTTCCAAGCCAGACATTTTCATTAGATGGGTCACTCTGAACAAGTTACTCATGCGCATCAGCCTCAGTATTCTCTTCTACAAAATGGGGATAGAGATGTGCTCCAACCAGATTTATTGTTAGGGTTACGTGACATAATGTATGAAAGCACTAAGCATAGAATAGAGTGCTTAGTGAGCACTTAATAAATGGAAGCTATTATTTACGGTAAATGTTTGAAATTAAATGGTCACCATATTTATTGTAGAGTTGATAAATGAAGCTCATATCCCAGGGAAGAAATGAAACAGTATTATCATAGCATACTTATTTACCTTCCCCCAGAATGCTGAGGTCCTTTCCTACCTCTTCGTGGAAATATTCCTTGCTCTGCAATTTTTCATGTCTTGCAAGCTTCAATCAATACAATTGATTTAATGATTAATTTATTGTGTTCCTCAGTAAAAGCCCAGCATCGACTTCTTAAAATGGAATCTTATCGCATTTTAGACAAACAAAACTAATTGGCGACAATCATTTAAAGGGGAAGCACAAAACATTCTATACACACACACACAAAGTCAAAGCAAATAATGAGAAAAAAAGCTTGTATTATTTTAAGAATGCAAAAGTAGAGGATGAGTTGAAGTGTTCAGGCTTTCTGATTTGCTGAGCTCAAAAGATCATTTGGGCCAATTATGCTTATCTGTGAACTGACATTATTCATGACCTTTACATCCTGCCCTCTCTAAAACGACTTCAGGATTTTTTTTTCTGCTAGTAGTATGAGGAACAGTTGTGCTCTTCATTGCCTCATGGTTTGTTTTTATCTCAGACTAACCATGAGGCCTCCATCCTTCCCACTGGCATGTAGAAGATGTAGAGACAATCCTTGTATTGCATTTCTAGTTATGCATGTTTTAGATTGTTTCATTTCAAATGTGTGGGGTTTTTTTATTTCTACCATTTTGTTTCTCCTTGCTTCATCTTGCCCACCAAATTATAAAATGGATTACCTAGTGGAACTTCAAAGCATCTTTTTAGTTGCCTGTGTATATTTGGAACAAGGTAAGGGATAAATAAATACAGAAGTTAGGGGAAAAAAAAGTCTAGTTTCTTGTTCTCCTGTGCCACAGCCTAGTTTTGTAGTTGGCTACTTGCATAGTATTTGCCTTCTGTAGAGAGCTAATAGACTCTACCAGCAGCTCCCCACCCTGGTGGTTGGTTCTTTCTTTGCTGTCCTATCCTCTCAGGTGCCTTCCTTAGAAAGTCTGAGAAGGCTGGTGAGCCTCCAACCTGTGGGAGGTGGTTAAGGGAGGGCCTCGGGAGGCTGACTTGGCCACATGGTGTCAGTCTTGCAGCACTGATGTGAGAATTCTGGGACTTGTCTTTGGCAGCAAGAAATGTTCCATGCTTCCCCCATACAACTCTCACGTGAACCAGGATGAAATAGCATTTGTTAGAGGTTTTGTCTGCTCCAGGGGGAAGGGATAGGAGCTCTCTTTGAGATATATATATATATATATATATATATATATATATATATATATACTTTCCTAGCTGAGCTGTGTGTATGGTAACTTTTACACAATGGAAGGAACAGTAATTTTAAAAAATAATTTTCTTCACCAGGAGCCTTCTTGGCAAGATTGTCCACCCAGCACCACACTGAGTGAGCCTGCTGAGGCAGCCAAGTATCCTGGTGAAATCCTGGGCTTTGGAGCCTGACAGACCTGTGTTTGCATTCTCATTCTCCTAGCCCTGCACCCTGGCTAGCTGTGTGACCTCAAGCAATTTTTAAACTTTCTGTGCCTCAGTTTCTTCGTCTCCAAAATACCATTTATAATACCCATTTCAGAGGAATGCTGTGAGAATTAGGTTGGGTTGGCTTATAGAGCACAAGCTTACCATAGGTGCTCAGTGAATGAGAGTTATCAATAAAATGTGAGCTGCTCTCTATTTTACGTTTAAAATATATCTTCTACATTTTTTCCACAGAAACCAGTCAGAGAGGGAGAGAGAGAGAAAGCACTACAGTGGGGAGTGTGTGTGTATGTGTTTGTGTGTGTGTTGCTCAAGTGATGTGTACAGGAAGTAAAATCCTCCTAATATATTACATGTGACAGCTGCTGAACCTGTATCCTAACATCTCTTTCCCTGCCCAATAGTTCCATGACTCTCTCCTAGTGACAATGAACATTTCTACGATGCTTACTAATGACAGACAGCACAACACAGAGCATGAAACAGCCTCTCCCCAGGAACAGAGCTCAGCAACCCTATGCTCTAGCATCATCTGCACCAATTCTTTGATGTTCTCAGTGCTGGAGACAGCCTACTCAAAGGAATGCAGGGTTTGGAGTCAAGGAGTCAAGTGTAGGTAGGAATTTCAGCTCCCAGACTTAACTAGCTGTGTAAGCTTGAGTAACCATTTACTCCATCAAAGTTTCACTTTTATAATTTGTAAAAATAAGAATAATGCCACCTAATTATTAATGTTGTTTTTTATTGGGGGTTAAATAAGACAGCACAAGTGAAAGCTCTGAAGACGAAGGAAATGCCAAGTCCCTGGTAAATATTTCCTGTTCACTTTTAGATGAAGGCTCTCAGGACTGCCCAATCTGATGGAAGAAATTGCCTTCCTAGACTTGCCAGCATCTCTGGGAACTGTCTTGAACTCCATATCAGAGATATGTAGAGGAGGAAACACACAAGTTCTCTTTCAAACACATTAAGTTGGAGGTGTCTGTTGAATCGGTAGGTGGAGATGTCTTCTGGGTTGGATATACAGGTCTATAGCTTTGGAAGAACTCTGGGTGGAGATTAGGAAGTCGTCTGAATTGAATGAATTTCACTCAAGCAAATAACTTTCTTCCAGGTATTCCCAGTCCCACTTCCCTTCGTCAACTCAATTTAACACATGCCGACTGTTAGGCCCTATTTTCTTTCAGAGAATCTTAGGCTAGCTGGAAATACTGTTCTTCCACTTGGCTCATCCACTCTTGCTTGGACTCCTTCCATTCCTGCCCAGGTATTACAGAATATAGAATCCACGTGGAACTATGAAATTCTGTTTTCTAAGCCATGGCTTCCTACCTTATAAAATTCAGTGTTTCAGATTGATAGTCTCTAGGTTGACCTATGATATGACACTGTTGTAGAATCCTAGAGGGTTGCTGATTACCAGTAACAAACATCCTCTTTTAAGTATTGGAAACTGAGGCCCAGAAGAGCATCTAAGTGATTTTCTCCATCACTGCGAAACTCAGAGCCATCACATCAGTCTGCCTCCTTACTTATAATGTGGTAGGTTATGATCTAGATGGTAGTTCAATTACTTAAGGGGTCAAGGATTAAAGTGTGGCCCTTCTCATGAACCAGCTGTTTAAAGGATTGAAAGGGAACTCTCCAAAGACCTCAACACATAGAACCCTTCATTAATATGAATTATTGTTGACATAGACTTAGACTTGTCATGGGTTAGAAAAAACTCTGGCCATCAAATAAAATGATGAACTGATATGAACTGATAAAACAGTATTCCTCTAAAGGTAAGAGTCAGATGGACCGAAGCTAAGAGTCAGATGGACCGAAGCATCCTATATGCTGGTCCAGTCTTGGCCAATATTTCCCAGTGTGATTATGGAACATGAGTCCCTTGGGGTGCTCAGTTAGAGAAAAAAAGAAAAAAAGCTTTGGAAGAGCTAAATATTCTCTCTCATGTCCTTAAAGGTTCACGGTGAAACAGTATATTAAAAGCTTTAGTTCTAAAGAAATCTGCTCAGAGTTTGTACTCAGTTCAACTCCAGTCTCCCGAATCATAACTAACCATAGAACCTAAAATAAAGCATACATTAGCATCCCATAGAGCAAGTGTTTTTGTGAAATATCTTACCCACTTTGAAATTTCTGATATAAGCACAATTTTGGGTACTTGGTTGGTTTTTAATCTTTCATTTTTGCAAAAATCCAATGACGTGGACATTGTTTATAATGTTAAATGTTACATTGTTTAAAATGTTAAATGTTATAATCATTTTGTGATGAGGAAATGGGACTCAGAAAGGTGTGGGAACTTTGTGAGGCTCACATCATCAATATGCTCTGCTTTTTGCCCTGCTTTTCATTTTATGTTGTTTATAATTTTTCATATATCTATGATGTATCCTTCTTCTGT